>NC_000003.12:110978301-111281331 GCF_000001405.40 Homo sapiens | reverse complement strand
TCTAAAAGTTTGTCACATTTTTTTTCATTCTAACCCTTGGTAACTCCATCCCTGCTTCCCCTCTAGGATGCATATGAGATCTCTAGACATTTTCTTTCTTTCCCCAGTGCTTTGTTCCTAAGCACAACCAACCTGCTAAAATAGCATGAACATAAACCTGGGTAGAATACTGGGAAAAGCACACAACAAACAGTCCAAAGAGCTTTTTGTTTTTAGCAATATTTTTAGGTATCTAGAACATCAAAGTTCAGGGTAATACGTAAAAACCATTTTTTTTTTAAATGCATGGCTGAGTTGGCTGGAAAGTAAGAGATACCCTTAGAGGTTAGAATAAAAGAGAACCCTCAAATCCATAAATGGGATATTAGAATTTGTCATCCAGAAGTACCAAATTAGCATTTGTTCTCTACCAATCCTAATGGCCTAGAACTTGGCTTTAGCAGACCAAGAGGAGACCACCTGAATCATAGGTATCGTAGGAGTTCAGATCAGGAACATCTGCCTCAAGCCAGGCCCCTGGAAGCACCCGTGGGTAAAGTAGGAAAAATCCTGCCCACAGAGTGAGGTAGTAGGGATATTTATCTGTCTTATCTCTGGCATAGGAAAAAAAATAATTCTCCTGAAATCTTAAACACAATTTTATTCTGACACATATTTGGGGCTAGAATTCTCTCTGATTATAATACCTCCAAAATATCACACACTAAAAATTTTGTTTAAAACAGGAGTTGGCAAACTATGGCCAACAGGCCAAATCCAGTTTGCCATCTGCTTTTGTACAGTCCATGAGCTAAAATGGTTTTCACATGTTTAAATGGTTGAAATAAAATAAAAAGAAGAAAATATTTTGTGACATATGAAAATGATGTGAAATTCAAATTTCAGTGTCAAAAAAAGTTTCATTGGAACATACCCATGCTCATTTCTTTACATATTGTCTATGGATCCTTTTGCACTATAATGGCAGGGTTGAGAAGTTTTATCAGGTACAGTATGGCTCACAAAACCTAAAATATTCACTTTCTGGTCCTTTATAGAGAAAGTTTTCTGACCCATGGTAACGTGGTTCTGATTAGCAGAAGTAAACACAAAAGCTCTCTGGTAAGCAAACTTTATACACAAATTGAACAAAACTTCACAAAGTTTTAAGGAATCTCATTTAACAATAAATTTAAAATTTTAAATTTTAAAACTTTGAAAATTTAAAAGCAGTGCACTAAACACTCAAAAAATAAGAGAGCATGGGTAACAACAGAAATAACTAAGTTGAGAATCAGATCTAAAAGAACGCTGATGCTCACATTATCAGACATAGGTTATAAAATAAGTATGTTTTATTACATTTACCTAAGTGTTTTTGGGGGTCTCTATCCAGGCATAGTATGTATGTATTTGTTTGTTCACTCATCCATTTATTTTTATTTGCTCTGTGCTTTCTTCATAGAGGGTAACTGATGGTAGGTTTTTCCCCAACAGGCATCATAAATGCCACTCTTTAATAGAGCATAATTTTAAGGCTTAATTTTAAACTTTGTTTAAAATAAACTCTGGGGGCACTTTAGCCCCTAGGTATAGTCTCAAAACACACATTTCATCTGCTCAGAATTCAACTACCCATAATAGAATTGGAAGACTCTGGTCTACTGGGGTACTTAGCACTAAGAAACATTAGAATCAGCAGTGATCCCTAACCAGAACAAGTTTAAACTTGTGCTCAATAAGTACTCATTAAATTTAGAATGTAGCATAAGTAGAAATCTTATACGTGCTTGGCCCTTAAATAGGTCTGCCACCTTCAGACACCAAGCTATGCTAGCCAATGTTGCAGCTCGTACTCTTTGCTAGAACTCCATGTTTCATTCAGGACTCAACTCAAATGCCATCTCTTAAGAGAGACTTTCCTGAGAACTCTTTAAATATATATAGTGCCCTTCACAGTACCTTATTTAATTGTCTTCAAGGAGTTCACATTACCTTTCATTTATTTTCACCACAGAAAACCCAGTAGAAAGAGTTTTATAAATTTTCAGGTTCAATTGCTCTTTAAGAGCAAACTCAATCCTTTCAATATGTACTCTCCAGTTGGGTTTTCAGAAAAACAACAAATATGTGGCCATTCCCAGGACCATGAAGCAGCTGCAACTAAATTTACAAATGGTGATGAACAAGCAACACAGCCTCTCCCACAGCCATGTGGTGAGCTCCTTCTCTCAGTGAGGCCAGCATTCACCAGCATGCATCCCCAGAGATTCTATCCTTATTGGAGTTAAACTGTCCTAACTCTTAGTACTTATTTCTCTGGCTGGCAGAATAGAGATAGGATATAATTGTTATCTGATTATCACACAGGTGAGTTTATTCCAGTAATTATTGCTGTGTAACAATCTATTCAAAAAGGAATGATTTCAAACACAACCAGTTTATCACATGCATGGATTAATAAGTACAATAGCAGCTGGCACAGCAAGGATGGCTTGTCTCTGTTTCCTGATGTCTGGCACATCATCTAAGAAGACGTAAAGATGGTGGTGATGATGGCTGGTAGTAGAGCCTTCTGGAGGCTCCTTCACGCATGTCTGGCCTGCCTAGTCTGGGTCTGTCCATGTGATCTTCCTTACACTATGGGGGCCTCACTTCTCACATGGTGGTACAAGCCTCCAAATTTAAGTGTTTCAGTGAACAAGGCAGAGATTCCTCACTTTTTTAAGCCCACCTCAGTAGTCTCACAGCATCATCACCACCACATTCTAATGGTCAAAGGGTCAAAAGTCCTTCTACACTCATGGGAGCGTTCATAGATCTTACCTCAGCTCTCAACGGGAGTAGTGTCAAAGAGTTTGTAGCCAATTTTTAAAACTTCTACATTCTCTTTTCCTCTAAAATTCACTCCTCTTCCAATGTAGCCTAGCGTATCTAGTGTTCAGGTTAAAAAATGAAACCAAACCTCTATAATTTACTACCTAAGTAAGTTTGAGTATCTCATCCTGTGTTACTTCATCTACAAAATAAAGGGCCTAAACTTGGTGATTTCTCTTCCTTAATTCCAGCCTTTATATCCTATGATTCTACTATTATAGAATGTTGAATAATGTTACCCCAAAATCGATTTCAACTCAGAACCTAAGAATGTGAACTTATTTGGAAATAGGATCTTTGCAGATGTAGTTAGTTAAGAAGCCCAAGATTAGATCAACCTACATTCAGAATAGGCCCTAAATATAGTCACCAAAGTGAAAAAGCCCACTCCTCACCTGCTTCACAGCAATGAGTTACTTTATGAGCACAGCAACTAGAAATTAAAATAAAAGAAGAGAGACACTGGGGGAATATGCTCATAATCCAAACCTTAGTGCACCCACATAACTTTTTAAATGCTTTGTTGTGGTGGTGGTGGTTGTCGTTATTTACCTTGAGTATTAGCAAAAAGTGAGGCTAATGAAGTCCTGGTGTGTGGAAGAACCACAGATGTGCTCTAAATCAGGCTCTAAAGGATGGATGAAGGGAGGCTGTTTACTACAAACACCTACCCCTTGAGAGGAGAAACTCAGCATGACAACTGCTACATCAAAGTGCAATTATTTGTATTCTCAAGACATAGAAAACAGAAAAGGTAGACTAAGCAGGAAGATGAAGCCAAATAAATTTAAACACTTTTTAAAAATTGCCTTAGAAGATGGAGAAAGAAAAAATAAAAAGAAATAAGTGTAATCAGCTCATAAATAATCTACAAGTAAGTCCTAAAACTGCAAATGATTCAGTAGTTCACATTTTGACTTCTTAAGACTTTGCAAACTGCCAAAGACTGTCTGCTTCTTCTTGAAGAATGCTTTTGTTTCTTTCTCTTAACTCAGGCAGCTTTCTCCTGGTCCCCATGACTGCTGAGTCCAGAAATGTGAAGCATTCTCACAGGAGAGCTCCCCCTCCTGTCTTTCGTCTTTCACATCTCGTTTAAATTTCTAATTCCTCAAAGCTTAAAGAAAGAGAAATGCCTCAAGACAAGCTGAACTGGGAAAGTCAAAGTGAATCGTGATAAGGGGTTCAATTACAGCCCGTGCATTCTCCTTATCTGGGTGACAAACACACTCATATAATTTGAGTTCCCACTCTTGTTTTACTTTGAAAGTGATTAGAAAGCCTTAATATATTTTGAAAGAACGCAACTTCTCTACTGTATTCTACATAAATTGCATACTAAGCTAGCCTGAAAGGAGAAATTTTATTTCAAAGGAAGATTAGAAAGTGCCTTTTTTAAAGCTATCAAAGCTGATACCAAGATGCAAAAGGTACAACTAACCAGATACTTAGGATATAGAGCCTTGCACCATTAAAAGGGTACTTTTTTGTGCAAATCATTTTTTGGTAGATAGTGAGGAAAAGGAATGTATGTAATAGGGACATTAACTTTCACTTTACAAGGCAGAAGATCACAAGGGGAACAGCAAACGAGCTGAGCTGATTATCTTGGGGTTTCAATTGAAGAAGAGCAAAATGAGCTAGCTAGCACAGCAGACAGGTCAATGTCTACTGAGGCAATGCTCAGAGCACTTTGGAAGCTGCAGAAATTAAGCCTTTTTGTTCTTGTATTGTGGCCTGGTTGACTTTGCACCAGGTCGAAGCAATGATCTGTATAATTGCAAACCCTCCCCTATTACCAGAGCTTGTCACTTCAGAAAGTGATGACTGGGCTCCAAGCCAGATTTTGGTTTCACCTTAGTTTCCAAGATACTCCATATTGATTAAAGGAAATATATTATGGTCTATAAAGGAGAGAGGAAGCAGACTGTGAGAGGGAGAGAGAGGGAGGGAGTGAAGGCAGGAGACAGAGAGTAGGGGAGAGGAAGAGATAGGGAGAAAAACAGAATGAAAACTGGGAGGAAGATTGAGCAAGAAGGTGAAATCACCTTAAAGACTAGCACACCTGTATTTGTTTGTTTGAGGAAAAGCAGTAAGGGGAGGTGGTAAGAAGGAAAAGCAGGTTTTCTTCTAACCAAAGTTTCACTTCCCTATGTTTTCCACCAAAACTTCTGCTCGGCAACCCCCAAATTGGAAGGAGTCTCTCACTCAGTACAAGGAAATCTCCTTGAGAAACCATGGAATACTGGTTCTGGTGTGGACCCTGGTGGATATCCAGGGGATTAGAGGAAAAAGTTTGCAGGGGAGTCCAGTCGCCTGCCTGAAATAGGCTCTTCAGATATCCGTGAATGAAAGAAAAAGGTTCCTGCATGGAGCAGAGCTGGGCATATGGAAGTGTTTAACAAATTCTGTTGAATACACTGAGTTTAGACAAAATGTATGCCCTGTGCAGCAAGAATACATAATTTAAATTTGAAAGTATTAAAATAAGGCATAATCTTGAAATTAACTTTTATTCAATAGTTTGGGACTTTTTTTAATCCCCAGAAATTAATCTTAAAGCTGAATCCCTTCATTTATTTTTCTCTTGTGTCCACATAGAACAACCTCTCCTGGATTATCATGGCTCTTTAAAGGTTTAATGACTTTAGGTGGTTCTTGAAGGTTACAAATTAAAGAATGAAGTTGTGATTCAGAAAAAAATATACAAAATACAAAAAAATCAGCAAGAAGAAAAATAGCAAGAAAAGAACACTGCTCTCTTGGTATGCTCTGCTATGCTTGTTCTTGAGAATAATGATCACCATTATTCTTGAGATTTGTATTCAAAGAATAATTGTCATCTTAAATCATGCATCATTTATTATTTAAGTTGCAAAGTGCATGGAAAACATTGTAGCGTGGGAAGGTGCAATTTAACCTTGGTGAAGGAAGGGGATATAAAATTACAATTTGGTGGGATGTGATCACAACTTCACTGTCATTCTGTGGAACTAATTTCTTCTGATAAGTATTTATAAGCTATAAAAGTCTCTGAAAAATAGAAAAAATAGCCCATCATTCCTAGAAGCTCAGATCTTCTTATAGGTTGCTGCCATCTTTTTCCTTTGAGAACTATTGATCCATCTTCCTCTTAATGTGTTTTTGTCCCAGGATTATAGTAAGTCTGCAATGGATGACAGTAAAAATCAGGTGATCAATACTGGATAGTTGGTAGTAATGGAGAATTTTCTCACAGACACAGGAATGGGGAAGAAATAATAATGCAATTGCCTTTCTCACTGGCAGGTGAACAACTCTGACAGTGGCACACCAAACTCCATCACATTCTGCCTTTTTACCCAAGAAGAGAGCAACACTGCACCCTCACAACCTTTCAAAACTTTAGTGGATAAGATGTCCCCTCTGCATTCTCCTTTGAATCTCCTACATGCTTCGCACACCTTTAATACCCTCTTTTTCATTCCCAAAGCACATTCACTTACGTCAGCCCATTTGGTCTTCTATCCATTTTGCTCTCTCTAGGTGAAGAAAGTCACAGAGATAATTAGTGGCTTGCTAAAAATTTTATGTCTAGTAAGGAGGTGGTCTGAACCAGGAATCCAGGTTTCTTCACATTATACCGGTGGTCAAACTAGACCCACCAAGCTGCTCTGAATACAGCATTTTGATCTGGACAATACGTAATATTAATAAACGTTCATCTAGAAAAAACAGATAGGAAATGTAGTTGTGAGTCTGTCTCCTGGCCGTGGGTAATAAACCCAAACAAAGAATGATGAGATTGTGGATTATTACCAGCAGAATATTTCCTGTTTATTCAAAAAGACTTGGTACCCGTGTTTTTAAATTGATAGAGGAAATAACAGAAGTTATGACAAATCACCTAGTCTCACAAATGAAGTTAATTAGTGCATATTTTAGTGGCTGAAATTTCCTTAAAGCTGTGGAAAACATGCTCGTGTTTTCTAAGTTGTGCCTACCGTAATTAAAACCTGATTGTGCAGTTATGCCTGATATATGGGGAAGAAAGCAGTTGTAACATTTTATGTTGCATTCCTATGGTATATTAAAATTAGATAATTAATAGCTTCCTGCAAGAGCCTACTCCTAGCTGGAACTTTGTCTTGCTCATCTAAGCAAACCTCTTCACCATTACTTTTATTTCTCCCTATCCATTCAAAATCACTGCTTCATCTTATTTTGCTTCTGTTGCAAACCAAAATCTGCCTTTTCATCAGTACTTCAGTCAACACACTTATCACAATATTAATTGTGAGTATATCATGTCCCAAGATGTATGTCAGGCAACAAGGGTACAATAGTGCTCAAGGCATCAGCCAGGCATGGTGGCTCATGCCTGTAATCCCAGCACTTTAGGAGGCTGAGGTGGGTGGATCACCTGAGGTCAGGAGTTCGAGACCAGCTTGGCCAATATGGTGAAACCCCATCTCTACTAAAAATACAAAAATTAACCAGGCATTGTGGCAGGCACCTGTAATCCCAGCTACTCGGGAGGCTGAGGCAGGAGAATCGCTTGAACCCTGGAGGCGGAGGTTGCAGTGAGCTGAGATCGTGCCACTGCACTCAGAGGTGCCACTGCACTCAGGGTGACAGAGCGAGACTCTGTCTCAAAAAAAAAAAAAGTGATCAAGGCATCAATAGTAATCATTTTCTAATAAGTATGAAGGAAAACGTACATATTCTTTATAAAGTCACTATTATTATCGAACATTGTATAGTTTTTTGGAGGCTGGTTTTTGTTTTCTTTTATCCATCTGAGAATGGTTATCCTCCAGGGTCAATATAAGAGGATATGGTGACTCTGTCCAACTTCCCCACCCCTCATCCTCCAGATAAAGGGGTCAATGCTTAAAGTATAAACCCTGGCAAGACTAAACCTGTGATAATTCTAATCATAAATACATAATAGAGTATGTGGAATACAAATCTCAAATTATAATAAAGTAGGTATTTACTCTGGTTGGCAACTTTAGCCTTCTTCGCAATGCACCACAGATTACATTTTAAAGTTAGTTTTCACTCTTGTCAATAGATATTTTTTATCAATGATTAATAAATATGCTAGTCTGTTAGGGAAGGTGGGGTTAGGGCAGACTCACAGAAACACCCATGTTTCAAATATCAAGGTCTCTCTGAAATGTTTTATAATATTAACTGATTTGATAGCCTATTTGGTTCGGAAGCTGTCTTCTTCATTCCTCTAATTTTTTAATTTATATTGTATCTGCTTCTAAAATAAATATTGTATGATTTAAATTCATATATCGAAAGTCTTTCTAAATAAAATTAGAGAAGATCCTCTACTAAAAATACAAAAAATAGCCAGGCGTGGTGGCGGGAGCCTGTAGTCCCAGCTACTTGGGAGGCTGAGGCAGGAGAATGGCGTGAACACGGGAGGTGGGAGGCAGGAGGCGGGAGGCGGGAGGCGGAGGCGGGAGGTGGAGCTTGCAGTGAGCCAAGATTGCACCACTGCACTCCAGCCTGGGAGACAGAGTGAGACTCCGTCTCAAAAAAAAAAAAAAAAAAAAAAAAATTAGAGAAGAAAGAATCCACATCCAGATAACCACATCCAGAAGGAGACCATTACTACAATTAAATACTTATTTTAGCTCACAACTTCCAAGTGACCAAGGCAAAAGTTAAACACAGCATTATATAATGATGTTAAAAAGACACCCAATTTTGCCTGGGGAGACATTTTCTTGGTACCAAATTCCTGAACAATAGTTTTCCATTTTCCATTATTAGGAAACAGTGAGCAGTAGAGTAGGCACAATGAAAAATAACAGCTTTTGTAGATGCCACTGAAATTTTTTTCAAATAGTGCTTTTTTATATGAAAATTTAAGAAAAATCCACAGCATGAAGTTAAAGTTTGACACGAAGGCAGGTTTCTGGGAAGTTAAGATAGCAGTCCTTGTCCATACCATACTGATCATGTTATTTTATACAAGAATAAGGTTTAAAGAACCTGGATAAATGAATAAATACCTCTTAGCCTGTCTTTTTTTTTTTTTAATCATCATTTGTCAGCTATACTTTGGATAGATACTTTATAGGGACCACTTTAAGACTGAGCTCTTTCAAACCTGTCTAAGATGCTGATTTTCTATGTTTGGATTGATGATGGTCCTGAGTTTTGATGTGGACATGAAATAGGTTTTTATTAAGCAAAACGTAGGTGAGATTCTCTAATGTTTATTACAGGATGCTAACCTTGACATTACCTGCCCATCTGGTATCACAATCAGAATAAGCTGTCCTGTTCAAGAGAGTGATGTAGCTTACTTGCTACACTGGACCCTATCAAGAAAAAAAATGCACAATTTTAGCTTTAGCTGTGTATGTGTTATGCATTAAGTATTTGTCAATAGTTCATTTGTTTTGGTACACCAGTTAGCTCCAATGTATAGTCAGAGAATTGGAATATTAAAATTGGGAGATACTCTTTTAATACTGAAATGATTAAACATCTCCAGTGACTGACAACTTACTACTAAATGAGATAGCCTCTCAAACTTTTAAAGCACTCTAAATGGAAGAATATTCTATTTAATGTTTTCTAACAATTACTTCTGCCTAACTTCTAGCTAAAAATCCCTCTTTTTGCCCTCTGTCACATACAGAATATGATAATAAATAGAAAACATCAATTTCAAACTGCTACTACACTGAAATTTTAATTATGCCATGGGCCAAAAGTTTGCTTTTGCTTCCAGTGATGTATAGCACCACTGTGTCATTTCAACACAGAAAACTGTTAACACTAGAGTGGGCCCTTCGTATTCATGGGTTCTACATGTCCGGATTCAACCAAACACAAATTGAGACTATCTTAAAAATTTTAAATAATACAAATTTTAATATGCAATATAACAACTATTTATATAGCATTTACATTGTATTTGTTATTAAAAGTAATCTAGAAATGACTTAAAATATAGAGAAGGAAGTGCATAGGTTAGATGCAAATACTATTCCATTTTATATAAAAGACTTGAGGATCTGCAGACAACGGAATCCACTGAGGGTCCTGGAACCAATCCACGTGGACACCAAGGGATGATTGTATTGCTTTTTATGATGTCAATAGTATGATTACAGTGTTTTCCTCTATCGACTTAACCCATCTTCACTTCCCCCTGAGGTGGAAAGTTAGTTCATATATTTTATGGGCTGCCCCCAACACCCACAGTTTCTAAGTGGTTAGATTAGGGAATATCTTAGCAATTTAGTGGGGGGCACTTGGAAGCTGATGAGTAAAATAAATGAATATTTAAAGAAAGGAGAATAGAGAGTACATGCACAGGAGATCTGAGCTGGTAGATCATCAGGCCCCAAAGAATGGAGAAAGCAGCTTTGATTTCTGGTGACTTACCATTTCAATAAGATCTAGTTATTGTCATTCCAATCCTTGTATATCCCATGTGCTCTGTATCTTACAATATCCTCCCACCTTTATTTGATCTTCTGATTTGATTGGGTCTCTGTTTCTTAAAAATTGGACAGCCCTGCCTGAAGAGGAATGAAGTACATATTTCCTAAGTTCACAGATAGAGAATCTAAGCTCAAGAATTATGTTTGAAGTAACTTAAGAACACTGTTGGCCAGGTGCGGTAGCTCACACCTGTAATCCCAGCATTTTGGGAGGCCGGGACGGGGGTGGATCACCTGAGGTCGGGAGTTCGAGACCAGCCTGACCAACATGGAGAAACCCCATCTCTACTAAAAATACAAAATCAGCCGGGCGTGGTGGTGCATGCCTGTAATCCCAGCTACTTGGGAGGCTGAGGCAGGAGAATTGCTTGAACCCTGGAGGCGGAGGTTGGGGTGAGCCCAGATCATGTCATTGCACTCCAGCCTGAGCAAGAAGAGTGAAACTCCATCTAAAAAACAAAAACAAAAACAAACAAACAAACAAACAAAAAACCACAAACAAACAAAAACGCTGTTAGCACATTAGCAACTAAAATCCTCCCAGCTAAGTTCGGTATTATATGTGCTAAATTCAATGACACACGTTTGTTTTGTATACCTTTACATACGAAAAATAATGGCAGCTATCTGATTAAAAAAAATTAACCATGACTCCAGTCAGCTTTTATGGCTCATAGTGTAGGTATATGCATATAAAGAATTAAGTGCACCTACTGCCATAGATAATCATCTGGAATTTGGCTCTGTTTCATGGTACAACGCTGGTCCAACGTGCTAACTTCTCCCAGTTTCATACTCCTGAAAACCAGGGGCTCACACTGACCTGAGAAGGCTCCACTTCAGAGAAGATCACAGATTTCTTTTTGAAATGTATCTGGGAACTCTTCTTCACACACCTTATATCTTTGAATGTGCTGTAATTCTAGGAAGATAGATTGCATCTGGTCGAGGGACAGTGAGGGCAAATGAGGGACAGAGGACGTCATGATAGCTCTAAGGGGAAGATATGGATAACATTTGAGAATGACTAGTTTGAAACATGATTCATAGTATTTTCCAGAAGGGTGTTAATACCTCATAGTGCACAATTTTACACCATGCTGCTGCATTCATTTTCAAGCTTCTTCTCCATTCTATTAGAGACTTTCATGAGTCATCTTGACACATGTTGTATTGTTCTGGATACCAGTTATTTTGAAGATTGTATGGAATAAAATGCTCTCTCATCACTTCATATTCCTGGAGCTATTGGTAATTTCATTTGGTGTGTAATATTTCTTTTTGGAGGGCTTGTAAACTAAAGCCTCAAGGTAATCATGCATGAAATAAAAACAGTAGAGAGCAAAAATTTACCCCACAAAATTTGCATTTTCTTTATGCTAAAGGGAGGTTTTCTATTGAGAATTAAAGTGGGAAGTAAAAAAGGAGAGAGGAAAGACAAGGACCTCACAGTTAAAGTAATTTTTAGTAGGCATGGAGGGGAAAAAGACATAAATTACATTCAGTAAAACCAAAGCAAAAAAGGCAGAGTGAAATGAATCACAGAAATAATGTCTGTTCAGAATCTGGAAATTAAAATAACTGTTCCGAATAGACAAGATATGATTCCCAATTGAACAATGAGCTGAAATTCAGGAAGCTTTCAAAAATAAATAAAAGGTAATTACAGTGAAGAATAAAGATGAGTGTACCTTCTCATTTACATAAGCGGACAGTAGTTCTGCAGCCTCTTGCTTATTAAAATGGATTGTTAACCAGACTGCAAGAAGCAAAATGAAATGGATCATAAAGTTGTTCATTTTAATATTACATTCTCTCAATGAAAATGTATTTTTAAATTAATATATAATATGCAAGATGAAATCTCAACAACATTTGAATGATCATAGAGCTGGGAGAGATTTTGAATTGGCCAACAATTTATTGTTGGGTTCAATGTAAGTTTGTCTCTCAGTGACCCATCATTATAATTCAAGGGCTTGTTAGGAGGCCCCTCTATATCCCTCCCTCATAGACAATGCCTGACTTTGTGTTAAGTGGTCCCATCTTTGCCAGGTAACTGTAGCTCTGCCTTCATTTCTGCAGAGTAACTGAAATAGCCAGGAGGTTATTAATCTAAACATATGGGACATAAGCCCTGTTCTCAATGAGTTTTCATACCTGTGAGTCAGTTATTTGTTGGTGCTTAACAAACTATTCTGAAATTTAGTGACTTAAAACAAAAATTTGTTGGCTCATAATTCTCCAGTTTTGGCTGGACTGATCAGTTCTTCAGCCCATCTTACCTAAGATCACTCATGGCAGCATGACTAGGTGGATGGTCCAAGATGGCTTACATAACTAGATCTGCCAACTGGGGCACATTGGTTCTCTTCCACATGACTTTTCCACATTTCTTACATTGAGGCAGCTGCCTTTGAAGAGGACACACTTCAATACATAAGTGCTTATTAAGTCTCTGCTTACATCATATTTGCTGATTTTATTGGGCCATTCTTGCATTGCTATAAAGAAATATCTGAGACTGGGTAATTTATAAGAAAAGAGGTTTAATCGGCTCAAGGTTCTACAAGCAGTACAGGAAGTATAATGGTGGCATCTGCTCCTGGTGTGGCCTCAGAAAGCTTACAATCATGGCATAAGGCGAAGGGGGATGCAGGAGTTTCACATGGTGGCAGCAGGAGCAAGCGAGACAGGGGAAGTGCCACACACTTTTAAACAACCAGATCTCATGAGAACTCACTCACTATCATGAGGGCAATACCAAGCGGATGGTACTAAAACACTCATGAGAAATCTGCCTCCATGATCAAATCATGTTCTACCAGACCACACTTCCAACATTGGGAATTACATCTCAGCGTGAGATTTGGGCAGGGACACCATCCAAACTATATCACTGATGTTCCATTGGCCAAAGTCACACAACATGTCACATGGCCAAACCCAGAGTCAATGTGGGAAAGAAACCACACAAGTATATGGTATACCAGAAGTCATGATTCATTCAGGTTATTAATGTAACAAACTACTGAAATTTTCACTTAAGGTTGACCATAAAATACAGATGTTTAAGCCTGTCATTCATAACTCTATATTCTGCTTCCAAGTCCCCTTTCCTTTTGATGTCCCACTGAGTCCCACAGAAATGTTACAATAGCAAAAACAGCCACATGATTCAACTTGAAGATATATTTGCATGCTATGACCAAAATTCTGTCCTTTTTTATTTTTTGGGGGGGGTGGGGTCTTGTTCCTGAATTGCACTCTTATGACTAGCTCCTTCCACTTACCCAGAACTCTGATCATCCTTCAGGGCCTGAGTCCTAAGTTAACTCTTCTATGAACTCTTCTATTATTGTCCAGTAAATGGGCATTTTTCCATTCTCTGAACTTAGTATGAAGCTGGCACAGTGTAGTAGAAAGAACCCAGGCTTTGGAATGAGATAGAGTTAGTTTCAAAACTGAACCCTTCCTATTATTAGCCTTATAATGATGGCCACACTACTTCAACTTCCTTAGCTATAAAATAGGTGAAATAATACCTATCTTTTAGGGTTGTTGGGGGGAAGATTGGGAGAGATAACATGGCAAAGCATCAAGTAGCATTTGACAGTGTGTGGGTCTACCTAGTACTATGAGACAGAGCCCTTACATTTATGACCTTGAGGTTTGCTTTTTATCCTTTTATTTTGTGAATTATTCTCCATCATAAAATGTGAATCTTTAAAGATGATCGAAATAAGTGTTTTACCCCATTTTATTGCCCAGGGGTTTCTCTCTACCACTCCAGTATCTAGTGCTTGATCAGTGTTAGTTGAAGTAGAAAAAAAGGAAAAAGAAAAGAGGCAAGAAGTATAGTTCCTCTATTTATGAAGGGGAAATTAATAATTACTGCTTGGTAATTAGGAGGTTGTTGCAACTACTAAGCTGCTAAGACATACTAAGTATCATTATAGGAAAACATATTTTAAGCTGTAGTATGTTTCTATCTGATTAATAATAATATCATGGATTTATATGCTCAGAAATTGTTTAGCCAGCCTTCTCTCTTCATACAGAATTGCATCCAGTTCATCATGACAAAATGGAAACTGCCTTAGCACTAGAGAAAGGGAGATTGTTTTTTCTGAGAGAAAGCATGGCAAGCCCAAAACCTGGATGGACTCTCATTGCTGAGGTGCTACTAGGAAGATATTGATGGTGGACATGTGACCTCTATCAGCCATTGTTAAAACCACTCATTTTCTCCCCCAATCACAGGGATTTGTCTACCAGCCTGATTTGCAGCAGTGCCAAGGGGCTATTGGGGAGATAATGGGAGGCAATTAAGCTAACAGACAGGGAAACTTGGGATGATATGATTTGAGTTGGGAAAAGGGGAGCTTGGGTAAATGGGTTTAAAAATTGCCAATAGAAGAAAGCTGTCAAAATAAAATTTTCATTTCTATATCGACTTCTAAGTGTCCTCATTTTGCACAGAACCATATAAAAATTTCTAAAGCTGTAATTTTACATAATAATGAAAAACTACATTCCTTCCCCAAATCAGAACAAGGCAAGGATACCTAATCTCACAAATAGTATTAAACATTACTGGAAATTGTAGCCACTGCAATAAGACAATAAAAATGCACACAGGTTGGAAAGTAAGAATTAAAACTATCCCCACTTATGTATTTCATTCTTATCTGTATATAAATAAATAAAAATTAATTAATTAATTAACAAACCATCAAACCCTAGAACTAATAAGTGAGTTCAGTAAGATCAGAGGATACAAGGCCAATACATAAACAATGAATTGTATTTCTATATGCACACGATGAATTTGTGGAAACTGAAATTAAAACTACACTATTATTCAAATTGTTCCAAGGAAAACAGAATAGATAAAACATGTACAGAACTTTTATGCAAAAATTACAACATAATAAGAGAAATAAAAAAACTAAGTAAATGGAGAGACATGCCATGCCTATGGATTCAAAGGCTCAACATAATAAAGATGTCATTCTTTCTTAATTGATCTATAAGTTTAATAAAATTACTATTAAAATCTCAGCAAGAATTTTTGTCAACATATATAAGCTTACTCTAAAATTTATATGAAAAGGCACTGGCCCCAAATAGCTAAACCAATAATAATAAAAAATAAGTGAAAAGAGTCTCTCTACCCTATAAGAGGAAGGCTTACTCTATAGCTAGAGAACTTAAGACAATGTGAGATTGGTAGAGACAGACACACATTAAGCTATGGAACAGAGTAGAGAAACCGTAAATAAGGTCACACAAATATGTCCAGCTGATTTTTTTTTAACATTGTAACCATTTTTAAGTGTATGATCCAGTAATGTTGACTATATTCACATTGTCACAAAACAGATCTCTAGAAAATTTTTATCATGCAAAACTAACATTATACGTATTGAATAATTCCCCATTTCCCCATCCCAACAGCCCATGGCAACAATAATCCTACTTTGTTTCTGTGAGTTTGATTACTTTAGATACCTAATATAAGCAGAATTATACAGTGTCCTTTTTGTGACTGACTTATTTTACTTAGCAAAATGCCTTCAAGATTCATCCATATGGTAGCAAGTGACAGGATTTCCTTCTTTCATAAGGCTGAACAATACTCCTTTGTATGTATATACCTCATTTTCTTTGTCCATATAGCCATCAGTGTACACTTGGTTTGCTTCTATTTCTTGGCTATTGTGAATAATTCTACAGCAAACATGGGTGTGTAAATAGCTCAAGATATCCTACTTTCAACTATTTTGGATATATACCCAGAAGAGGGATTACTGAATTATATGGTAATTGTATTTCTAATTTTTTTAAAGAAACTCTATACTGATTTTCACAGAAGCCGCACCATTTTACATTCCTACCAACAGTACACAGGGGTTCTTGTTTCCCCATAATCTCATCCCCACTTGTTATTTTCTGTTTTTTTGATAGTAGTCATACTAATAAGTGTGGCGTAATATCCCACTGTAGTTTTGATTTGCATTTCTCTAATGATTAAGTGATATTGAGCATCTTTTCATATGTTCCTTGCCCATTTGTATAACTTCTTTGGAGATGTGTGTGTTTAATCCTTCATCCATTTGTTAATTGTTTTTGTTGTTGTTATATTCTGGATCTCAACCTGTTATCAGATATATGATTTTCAAATATTTTCTTCTACCCTGTAGGTTGCCTTTTCACTCTGTTGTTGTTTCCTTTGATGTGCAAATGATTTTAAGTTCGATGTAGTACCACTTGCCTGTTGTTGCTTTTGTTGCTTGTTCATCTGGTGTCACATCCAAAAAACCATTGCTAAATCCAATGCCATGAAGCTTTTCCCCTGTGTTTTCTTCTAGGTGTTTTACAGTTTTAGAACTTATGTTTAGGTCTTTAATCCATTTTGAGTTAGTTTTCATATATGATGGAACGCAATGGTCCTACTTCATTCTTTTCCATGTGAATATCCAGTTTTCTCAACACCATTTGTTGAAGAGGCTGTTCATTCCCTAACGTGTAATCTTGAAATATTTGCCCAAGGTTATCTAACTATATGTATGAGGGTTTACTTCTAACCTTTCTGTTCTGCTCCATTGATCTATATGTATATCTTTATGCCACTATTACACTACTTTAATTACTGTAGCTTTATAATAGATTTTAAAATCGGGAAGTATGACGCTTACAACTTTCTTTTTCTTTTTCAAGATTATTTTGGCTATTTGGTATTCTTTGAAATTCCATTTGAATTGTAGCATAATTTTTTCTATTTCTGCAAAAAATGCCATTGGGATTTTTATAGGAAATACATTGAATCTGCAGTATTCACTTTGGGTACTATGGACATTTTAGTTGTAGTGAGTCTTCTAATCTTTAAGCACAGAATGCCTTTCCATTTATTTGTGTCTCCTTTAATTTTGTTCAGCAATGTTTTGTAGTTTTCAGTGTACAAGTTTTTCAACTTCTTAAGTTTGTTTCTAAGTATTTTTGGATATTATTGTAAATAGGATTGTTATTTTAATTTTCTTTTCAGATTGTTCATTGTTAGTGTATTAAAATGCAACTGATTTTTGTATGTTAATTTTGTGTCCTTTGCTGAATTTATTAATTCTAATATGATTTTTCCCAGAATCTTTAGGATTTTCTGCATATAAAGTCATGTCTTCTACAGGCAGAGATCATTTTAATAATTTTCAGTTTAGATATTCTTTATTTCTTTTTATCACCAAATTGCTTTGGCTAGAACTTTGAATACTACATTGATTAGAAGTGGTAAGAGTGGGCATCCTTACCTAGATCCTTATGCTAGAGAAAAAGCTTTCAGTTTTTTGTCATTGAATATGATGCTAGCTACAGGGTTTCATACATGGCTTTTGCAATGTTGAGGTGGTTTTCTTATATTCCTAGTTTGCTGCGTGTTTTTTATCATACAATGATGTTGAATTTTGTCAAATGCTTTTTCTGCATCAGTTGAGATGATCATATGGTTTTTGGTCCTGCATTCTGTTAATGTTGTCTCTTATGTTGATTGATTTTTTATATGTTGAACCACCCTTGCATTCTAAGAGTAATTCCTATTTGGTCGTTGTACATAATTCTTTTAATGTGCTATTGAATTTTGGTAGGGTTTTTGCATCATTATTCATCAGAGATATTGGTCTGTAGTTTTATTTTCTTGTAGTATTTTTGTCAGGCTTTGGTACCAGGATCAGGGTAGTACTGGTCTCATAAAATGAAATTGGAAGTGTTCCCTCCTTTTCAAATTTTTGGAAGAGTTTGAGGAGAATTAGTGTCAATCCTTCTTTAAATATTTGATAGAATTATCTAGTGAAGCTGTCTGATTCTGGGCTTTTTGTTGTTCAGAGGTTTTTGATAACGGTTCAATTACCTTGCTAGGTCTGTTTATATTTTTATTTCTTCATGAGTCAGTCTTGGTAAGTTATACATTTCTAGGAATTTATTCATTTCTTCAAAGCTATCAAATTTGTTCACATATCATTGTTCATAGCACTCTCTTAGGATCCTTTTAATATTTATGTCATCAGTTTTAATGTCTCGTTTTTCACTTCCTATTTCAGGTATTTAAGTGCTCTTTCTTTCTTATTGTAGCTAAAAATTTGTCAATTTTGTTTATATTTCAGAAAAAAAGAAAACACTCTTGTTGATTTTTGTCTGTTGTTTTTCTATATTTTATTTTGTTCACTTCCAATCTAATTTTTGATATTCTCTTCCTTCTGCTAACTTTTGGTTTAGTTAGTTCTTTTTCCAGTTCACTGAGACGTAAAGTTAGGCAGTTGATTTTAAATCTTTCTCTTTTCTTAATATAAGCATTTGCCACTATAAACTTAACTTTTGGTATGGCTTTCATTGCATCCCATAAGTTTTGTTTTGTATGTTGTGACTTCATTTTCATTTGTCTCAAGATATTTTCAAATATTCCTTGTATTTTCTTCTTTACTGATAGATTCCTTAGGAATATGCTTTGTTAATTTTTATATATTTGTAAATTTTCAATTTCCCTTCTGCTATTGATTTTTAGATTCATTGTTGTTAGAAAATATACTTGGTGTTATTTCAATCTTCTTAAATTTGTGAAGACTTTTTTGTGGCCTAATGTGTGTTCTATCTTATAGAATATTTCGTGTGCACATGAAAAGAATCTGTATTTTGCTTTGTTGAGTAGAGTGATCTGCGTATATCTATCAGTTCTAGAGAGTGAGGTATTGAAGCCTCCTACTATTGTGTTACCATCTATTCTGTTAATGTTCACTTCATGTATTTAGGAGCTCTAATGTTAGGTGCATATTTATTTATAATTGTTATATCTTCCTGATAAATTGACCTCTTATCATTATATAAGGTCCTTCTTTGTCTCTTGTGATAGTTTTTTACTTAAACTCTATTTTGTCTCATGTAAGTATAGCCACCCCTGTTCTCTTTTGATTAACATTTGCATGCAATACTTTTATCCATTTTTTCACTTTCAGCCTATGTTTGTCCTTAAATCTAAAGTGGGCTTCTTAAAGACACAATATAGATGGATCTTATTGTTGTTGGTTTTTAATCCATTCACCCTACCTATGTCTTTTGATTGAAGAATATAATTCATTTACACTTAAAGTAATTGCTAATCAGGAAGGATTTACTATTGACAGAGCATTTTTAGTTGCATTTTTTACAGGTATTTTTCTTTCTTTTCCTGTCTTCTGGCCTTTCTTTGTGTTGCATTTATTTTTATTTTTTTTTTTTGTTACATGATTCTATTCCTTTCTCAATTTCCTTTGTGTATCTTGCATAGGTATTTTTTCTGGGCTTATCATGGGGGTGATATAAAACATCTTAAAGTTATGACTATTTATTTTAAACTGAGAATAACTCAATTTTAATTGAATCAACAAACTCTGCTGTTTTGCTTTGTACCCCTTATACTTTACATTATTGTTGCAAGTTGCATTTATTTATATTGTATATTTATTAACATAGATCTACAGTTATTTTTCATGTCTGTCTTTTAAATTCTATGTCAGAATTTAAACTGATTTATGATCAGCATTACAATAATACAGGATTCTAGATTTGTCAAAAAATTTACCTTTACCAGAGAGCTTTGTATTTTTATGTTTATGTGCTTTCAAGTTTTTGTCTAGAATTCTTCCATTTCAACTTGAAGAACTTCTTTTTGTATTTTTTATAAGGCAAGTCAGGTGGTAATGAGTTCTCTTAGCTTTTGTTTATCTAGGAAAGTTTTCATTTCTCCATAATTTTTAAAGTACAGTTTTGTTAGATGCAGCATTCTTAATTGGCAGGTTGTTTTCTTTCAGAACTTTGGATCCATTATCCTATTCCTTGTGGCCCACAAGATTTCTACTGATAAATTTGTGATACTATTATGGAATCTCCCTTGTACATGATGAGTCACTTTTCTCTGACTGCTTTCAAGATTCTCTCTTCTAATCATCAAGGAAATGCAAATTAAAACCACAATGAGATATTATCTCACTCATGTTGGGAAGACTATTATTGAAAAGACAAAAGATAAAACATCTTGGTGAAGTGAAGATGTGGGGAAAAGGGAACCCTTGTACACTGTTGGAAGGAATGTAAATTAATACAGCAATTATAGAAAACAGTATAGAAAATTCCTCAAAAAATTAAAATTAGAACTATCATATAATCCAGAAATCCCACTATAGGGGATATGTATTTAAAAGATATGGAATCACTATGTTGAAGAGATATCTGTACTCCCATGTTCATTGCAGCATTATTTACAATAGCCAAGATATGGAATCCACCTGTCTCTTTCAATGGATGAGCAAATAAAGAAAATGTGGTATATATTCACTACGGAATGCTGTTAAGTTTTCAAAATAAAGAAATTCTGTCATTTGCAACTGAGTAAACCTAGGGAACATTATGTTAAGTGAAATAAGCTAGGTGCAGAAAAACAAATACTTTATGATCTGACTTATATGGGGAATCATAGAAACAGAGAGTAAAGTGATGGTTACCAGAAACTGGGAATTGGAGAGATGTTGGTCAAATCACATAAAGTTTCAGTTAGACAGAAAGAATATGTTCAAGAGATCTACTGTACATCACAGGACTTATAGCCCATAACAATATATCGTACACTGAAAAATTGCTAAGAGAGTAGATTTTAAGTGTTCTCACCACACACACACAAAATAAGTATGTGATGTAATGCATATGTCAACTAACTTGATTAGCCATTCCACAAGGCATACATATATGAAAACATCATGTTGTATCTCATAAATATATACAATTTTCACTTGTCAGTTACATAAACAAATAAGTAAGATTCTTTCTGTCTGAC
Source organism: Homo sapiens (assembly GCF_000001405.40). Taxonomy (NCBI): domain Eukaryota; kingdom Metazoa; phylum Chordata; class Mammalia; order Primates; family Hominidae; genus Homo; species Homo sapiens. The sequence goes on along the minus strand of NC_000003.12, from coordinate 111,260,163 downwards.
TTTTGACAATTTTGTTATGTCTTGCTGTTGGCATATTTGAGTTCATTTTATTTGAAATTTGTTGAGATACTTAAATTTTATGCCCATTTTCTTCCTCAAATTTGAAACTTTTAGGCTATTACTTTTTCAAATAGGCTGTCTGCTGATTTTTCTCTCACTTCTTCTGAGATTGCCATAATGTATATATTGGTTCACTTGATGGTGTCTCATAAGTTCCTCAGGCTCTTTTCAGCTTTCTTCATTCTTTTTTTCTTTTTTATTATCTGCCTCAGTAATTTTAAATAATCCATCTTCAAGTTCACTGATTTTTTCTTCTGATTTATCAAATCTTCTGTTGAACATCTTTAGTGAATTTATCCATTCATTTATCCTATTCTTCACTCCAGAATTTCAGCTTGGTTCTTTTTTACACTTTCTATCTCTTTGTTAATATTCCCATTTTGTTCATGCATCATTTTTTTCTGATTTGGGTAATTGTCTCTATGTGTTATCTTTTACTTCATTAAACATCCTTAAGACAGTTATTTTGAATTCTTTGCCAAGTAATAATAGATGTCCATTTCTACATGGCCAGTTTCTGAAGATCTAATTTGCTCCTTTAATTGGGGTCTCATTTCTTGCTTCTTTGTATGCTTTGTGACCTTTTTTTAAATTATGAATATTTTTTTTAAAAAAAGACCACCTTTCCCAGTCATTACTGACTCACTTCATTCAGGGAAGGCTTTCACCAGTCAGGGCAGATTGAGATTCTGGGGACTTCTCAAACCTTTTCTGGAGATATGTTCTATCTGGGCTTATGAATGTAACTTCCCAGTTAAAAAGGTTTTTCTCCATTTTTTTCCAGGAGTTCAACATCTGTTGCTCCCTGTGATGTCTTTGCATGGTAACATTGTCCCTCCAATGCTTCAAAAAGCTGATTCATTCACCTTTGTGAACTTAGCAGCTCCAAGTCATCCAAACTCTGCCAGCTCTCATCAGGACTTTTTATCAGCTGAGACAGAAAGCAGCCCCTCAGATAGCCCCCCAAAAGTCACAACATTGAATGCACAATTTTTTCTTCTTTTTCCTTTCTAAGGGAGAAGCCTCAAGTTGAGAGTTTTCTTCCAATCAGACCACGATGTGCCAGCCAGGGAGAGGGAATATAGCAAGTAAATGCCACATACTTTCTTACCTGCTTGGATGTAGTTTTTATTGGCTTTGTATTCACCTGGGGTCTGCAAAGTATTGAATGGTTTCTGGAGTTCTCAAAAAAGCAATTGGGTTCACATATTATTGTGAACCAAGTGTCTCAAGGTAGGAAAGAGAGACTAGAGCTTTCTACTATCACTCTGGTCAACTTTGCCAAAATTTTAGCTCACTTAGGCTTAGTCTTTATCTCACTGATTGTTGTCTCTAACCTTCCACCCAAATGACTTTTGACAAAGGTTAAAGAGCAACTTAATGGAGTTTTCAACAACTATTCCTACAACAATTAAACATCTTTAGGGGAAAAAGAAGCCTTGCCTTAAACTTTACACTTGATTTAAAAATTAACAAGAATGAATCATGGATCTAAATGTAAAAATCCACAAAACTTTTAGAAAAAGAAAAAATAATAAAATCTTCAGGATCTGGGCCTAGGCAAAGAGCTCTTAGACTTGATATCAAAAGCACAAATAATTGATAAATTAGACCTCCTCAAAATTGTGCTCTGCAAAAGATCCCATGAAAGGGAAAAAAAGAAGCCACAGGTTGGAAGTATTTGCAAACTACATATCCTACATAACTAATATATAGAATACGTAAATAACTCTCAATACTCAACAGTTAAAAACAAAAGACATAAAGATACATTTAACTGAAGAGAATATACAGATGGTCAAAAGGCACATGAAAAGATGTTCAACATCATTAACCATTAGAGAAATGCAAATTAAAACCTCAATGAGGTATCACTATATAACTATTAGAATGGCTAAAACAAAAAGTAGTGAAAACAACAAATAATGGTAAGGATGCAGAGAAACTAGACCACTCATATATTCCTGATGGGAGTAGAAAATGGTATAGCTACTCTGCAAAGTAATTTGGAAGTTTCTTATAAAATTAACATGCGATTACCATACAACCCAGCAATTGCATGCTTGGTCATTTATTCCAGAGATATGAAAATTTGTTCACACAAAAACCTATACACAAATGTTCATGGCAGCTTATTTTTAACAGATAAAAACTAGAAACACCTAAATGTCTTTCAGTGAATATATGGTTAAACAGTGTTACATTGTTACCTTGGAACACCATGCAGCAACAAAAAACAAACTATTGATATACACAATGGTCTGGGTGAATCTGGAGAGAATTATGCTGAGTTTAAAAATCCAGTCTCCAAAGGTTACATACTATATGATTACATTTATAAAACACTTTTGAAATGACAAAATAATAAATGTATTACAGATTAGTGGTTTCCAGGGGTTAGGAGGTTAGGAGCGAGTATCGTTATAAGAGGACAGAAAAGAAGATTCTTACAATGGAACTGTTTTGTACTAATATCTTAACTGTATCAACGTTAATATTCTGGTTGTGATTTTGTACTCTAATTTGCAAGATATTATTATTGGATAAATGTGTAAAATTTACAGAGGATCTTTCTGTATTATTTCTTACACTATATGTGACTCTACCATTATTTCAAAATAAAAAGTTTAATTTTAAAAAATCACAAGGGAAGCAAGTATAGTAATTGAGGGTTTCTATACACTGAATGCTTATGTCATCCCCAAATTCATTTATTGAAACCTAATTCCTAATGTAATTGTATTCAGAGATAGAGTCTTTGAAAGGTGATATGGTCATGAATGCAAAGCCCTCATAAATAGAATTAGGGCCGTTATAAAAAAGACCCCAAAGAATGCCCTGATTTTTTCACCACACAAAGACACAGTCAGAAGATTGCCATCTATGAATCAGGAAGTGGGTCCTTATGAGATATGGAATCTGCCAGTGTCTTGATCTTGGAATTCCCAGCCTCTAGAACTATTTGAAATAAACTTTTGTTTTTTATATACCACCAGTGTTTTGTTTATAGCAGCCTGAATGAACTAAGACAAGAGTAGAGAGTTTGTTGTCAGACTAGACAAATTTGCAGTCTCAATTGCATCATTAATAGCTGTTTCACTTTGTGCAATGCCTTAACTTCCCTGAAAGTTTAATCCCTTTTCTATCAAATGGGGTTAATAACAGCATCTATCCCATAAGTGTATGGCAAGCACTCAATGAATTAAGGCATAGGAAGCCTTATCCAAGAGCTGGTCACATGGTAAGTACTCCATAGAACACCAGCCCTAATTATTATTGCACAGCTCCTCTCTCTCAACATGGTTCATAGTCAGCCAACATCATTTTAGGTTCACAGGAAAAATAACAAGAGACAGAAATTGGAAGACTGAGCTTTACATTGAAGCCGTGTAAAGATTTAGTGTAGAATATCTCAGATGCATAAATTATAATGAGACACAAATGCATTTATAATTAAACTAAGCAACTTTATGAACCAGAAACAAAACCACTGCCCTGGTTTATGTATCTTTTTTTTTTATATGAAACAAAGTTCCAGTCAAACAGCCTGAGTGAAAGCTTGAATGAGCATTAAACAGAAACATAAAAGTGACATGCAGCAGTTCATGTTTGTCAGCTCTAGTCTTTCTCAGAAGAAGCATGTCCTTACTAGTTTTCTCAATTGTTAATGATACCAAGCAAAATTAATTGAAGTATTTTTAAGATGACATTTTCTCTTGCTTGGAAAAAAATTTTTGAGATATTCACACTTCTGTGAGAATTGAATTTTCCAGGTTTGCGTGTTGCTTTCATTTTGGGAGAAATCTTTTCAAAATCAAGAGAGGACGTAATGGCATGTAGACCATCATTTCCAGAATAGTAGTGGAAAGAGATAAGGCAGGCAACTGAAGATTCTTTAAAAAATGTAAATTTGTTCTAGCAATTATTTTTATCTTCTTTCTTACCAAACAGCTATCAACCAAATAGACTGATCAGCAGTTTGCATGTTTATTCTGCCGTGATTTATTTAATCAATATATCACCTATTGATAAACAGAATAGAAGAAACACTCCTAGTAAGGGTAAATTTTAAACTGTCTATAGTATCCAGATTATCTTGATAACATTTGTACTTTGAAGCATAATGAATTCAAGAATTTATGAAACCCAAATTAAACTATGAATTACAGAAAAGAACACTGCATAACATGGAGAATTTTTTTTAATGAGATTCTGCTATTACTGTAGATGAAGTTATTACCTTAGTGCAATGAAAAGAACATGGACATTAAAATTGACAAAATGTAGTCAAAACTCAAGCTCTACTATTTACTAGCTGTGTGACTTAAGGTATTACCAACCTCTCTAACTTGCCTTTTTTTGTGTGTGTGTGAAATTAGGGTTAAAGTAACTATCTTGCTGGTAGCTGTGAATCAAGTGAGATCATGTGGATTATGTGACTACCTCAGTGCCTAGCTTATAGCAGGAGCTAAGGATAGTGTTAGGTCCTTTCCTTCTTCACCCTTGTATCTTTTGATTCTCTTGTGCTGTGGCTCATTATTGTGCTCAAGTTATCCCCAGCTTTTGATAATGAAATTTCTTCTCAAAGACTGAACCCTGACATTTCATAGTAATACTTAAGGAACATGTGATGCCTATCAAGCATAAATACTCCATTTCCAGGTTATTGTTGACAAATAAATCCTTCTGAATTAAATGCAACTCACACATACCAAAACTCACATAATATTCATTCTTTGGAATATTAATAAATGGAGAGGGATAGGTAAAGAAAATGGAGGTTGGAAAAGTGCTTATAACCACTAACAACAGGTACTTCATAGATCTGTGGGTTCATTCTCATAATCTTGTAAAGTAAATTATCTCCCCTATAACCTTAAGCAAAATTCCCTGACTAATGAAGCAAAGCTCAAAAGTCTACTTTTAACCTAGTTTCAGCCACCAAAAAATTCAGAATAAAGGGAGCAGTAAAGTAGTTGTCTCCTTGAAAGAGAGAAGGGAAGTAGTAGCTACAGATCAAGAAGCAAGAATCTGGGTTTAAGCCAAGGTTGGAGGCTCTGCTGATTCCTTATCCATTTTGCCCTCACTTCTGTATTTTTTTTTATGATTGGATAGAAGCAAAATATCATTTTAGGATGTATTCTGATATATGACCAAACACTAATAATGTGCATGACACAGTACAGAGTCAGAAAACTCTAATCCATTTATAAGTTTCTGGTTGTTCATCACGGTGTATATGGTCGATTTGTTACAATGATGACTTTCAACGAATGACACCTCTCTATGTCCCCACCTCTTTGCAATGTGACTTGCCATTCCTCCCATCAAGAGTTAGTCTGTTTCCCCATTATTTGAAACTGAGCTGGCCTTGTGACTTGCTTTGATCAATAGAGAGTGGTGAAATTATTGTTTGTGACTTCCAGGGCCAAGCTTGAAGATACTTTCCAGCTTCTGCTTTGACTTTCTTGGAACACTTTTGCTATCATGTAAAGATGTTGTATCATATGGAAAATGAAATATGCAAATTGACTATGATTCTCAGCATTATGTTTGACAAAACTGAAAACATTTGGAAATCTCCTAAGGGGTCTTAATATCAAGAGATTTCCTACCTGACTGAAATTCTGCATATTAAATTCCACTCAAAGTATTTTGCATCTTCACTGAGTAAAGCAAAAAGTGGGAGAGTACTATTCTTATTGCAAACTCAAAGATACCAGATGAATATAAAATTCAAGTATTAAATACTCACATATAACTTGCTGCTTAAATACCTTTTTGTGATCCTCACTTAAGTATTCAAGGATGCTTCTGCCAGTTCCAAATATGAATTTACATGTAGCTCTGGGCTTCAAAGAATGAAATAAAACAATAATTTCAATTTTATAAGTCCTTGGAGTGAAAACAACTGAGATGTAGCTTTTCTTTGGCTGTTGTGTGTTCCAATCCCTGCAGGCCAATTAAGTTCTTTCAAAGCCCCAGCAAGGGCTTGAAGGTTAATTAAAATGTGTGATTTTTTAAAAAGAAGAAAAACCAAACTGAGAATAATATATAGTGCACATATTCCACAAGCTGCCTTGGAATCAACATTTAATTAACCAGCAGTGAGCCGCAGCACCTGTTTTTTTCTCCATTTCTGTACAAACACTGTGGGTGCAACCACCAAAGTCTCTGTGGCTGATGTTTGCAAAGACTCCCCTTAGTCTATTTCCTCCCCTTAAACAGGACCCTGCTTTTTGGTGAGTTTATCATTGCACCATCCTAATACTCTCTCCCATAAATAGATTCTTCCCCGCTGTCCCTCCTCCAAAACTCCAAAGAAAATTTTTTCTTATACCTCCTATCAACCCTCCACACACAACTTACCCATATAAACTCTGCTTTTCATGGTTGCAGCTACTTGGTTAATTACCGAATGGCCTGTGATATGCTAACCCTCTCTGGAAACACCTGCATTTTAACTGAAGGTCCCATAGGATTGTAAAGTCCACCAATGGCACATGTGGTAGCCAGCCTCAAAGATGACCCCATTGACTTCTGCTTTCTGATATTCACACCTTTGTAAAATCCCTTCCTGCATTTTTTGAGGGTTTATCTGGGTGACCGATAACATGACAGAAATAATGGTGTATCACTTCCAAGATTAGGTTATTATTTTAAATTCCATTTTATCCCCCTTCCCCTACCCCCGACACCCCCTTGTTACTTGATACTTGCTCTAGGGAAAACCATACTCCTGGTAGGTCTATGGAGAAGCCTCCATAGCAAGGAACTAAAATTCAAGTGCATGATCTTGGAAGTAGTTCCTTCAGCTCATTAAGCCTTCAGAGACTGCAGACTTGATCAATTCCTTGGCTGCAGCTTCATGAGAGATCCTAATCCAGAACTACCCAGCTAACTCCCTCCCAGATTCCTAACCTACAGAAACTGTGAAATAAACATTTTGTTGTTTTAAGCCACTAAATTTTGAGGTAACTTGTTATACAGCAATAGATAACTAATATAAAAGTTTGGGTCTTTCCCACATGATGGAGCCATTTAGCAGCACACTGAGGTGACCTGATGCAGTAGAGCAAGCTGTGCCCTCTTTTCTGGATGATTCTAGTAAGAAAAGAGAAGGAAAGCAGGCATTTAAGGAAATGTACCACGTGGTGTGTGGGGACCAACAGGAAAGTGTTGCTGGGCAGACTCAGCTAGGACTGGAGAAGGGAGAGGGAGGTTGAACGTTCCGGTGTCCAGGGATTTTCCCTTGTCAGATTTGACTTTGAAACCTCCTCTTTTCCACCCTTTCTCTCTTTCTTCCTCAAGCCTCAGCCACTCTCAGGCTATAGATAGACCAAGTGTTGCTGTCAATCTGTTTAAGATGGCCAGTCTCATATAATCTCTGTTAAGGTGTGCGTCTCTTTTCTTTCTCTGAAAGTATTCTTAAAGGGCCAACAAGATAACAAACCCTGTGGTGCTCTTGGACTTGGTCAAGCCCACAGTAGATGCCCTAGTGTTTGTGTCTGAGAAACAATTTGCTACAGTTTGAAAAGCATGTTTTGGCACCACATGCCTCTGAGTCCAAATGTAGCCTCTGCAACTTAATAGCAGTGTTAGGTGGGTTCCTCTGATATTTAGTTTACTCATCTGTAAAATGGGAATAATATCTAGCTCCTTAGCTTGTTAAGTTCATTAAGTGATATAATATACATATGTCTCCAAAGACCATTTCTGGCTTCCAGAAAAAGCTCACCAAATACCAGTATACTTTCCTTCTCTTCTCCCATCTGAATTATTCAAAGCAATGCTAATAATTCACAGAGATTTAGATCAAGGTTGGCTGGGTGTGGTGGCTCACACCTGTAATCCCAGCACTTTGGGAGGCCGAGGCGGGCAGATCACCAGGAGTTTGAGACCAGCCTGACCAACATGGAGAAACCCCGTCTCTACTTAAAATACAAAATTAGCCAGGTGTGGTGGCGCATGCCTGTAATCCCAGCTACTTGGGAGGTTGAGGCAGGAGAATCACTTGAACCCGGGAGGCAGAGGTTGCAGTGAGCCAAGATCATGCCATTGTACTCTAGCCTGGGCAACAAGAGCAAAACTCCATCTCAAAAAAAAAAAAAAAAGAACTTCAAGGTTTACTTTGTGATTCAAGAGGGAGTAAGGGTATGTTATGACCCATTTGGATGTGCAGTAACTTGCAAAGAAAGAGGAAATCAATTTTATGCCACAACTTGTATGTTACTTGTGCTCTACCACCAGATAGTACTTAAAATATGCATGATTCGAATAAGTCTTTACAAGGTATGTAAATCACAGATGAAGCATGGATGGATTTTTAACTGTTACTTTTGTAATAAGAATAATCTCTATTAAAAAGACTTAGAGGTGAAAGGCAACTCAAAATCTTGACCACCTTTTAGAGACAGATGGTAAAGAAATGCCTAGATTCAAATCCCAGCTCTGCCCCTAATTAGCTATATGACCTTGGGCAACAAACTCTCTGAGCCTCAGTCCCTTTACCTCTAAAATGGGAATAATGCTCATACCTGACTTTAAGAGTTGTTGTGAGAATTAGATAGATAGATAGATAGATAGATAGATAGATAGATAGATAGACAGATGATAGACAGATATGTGAAATGTTTATACCAATGCCTGACAATGACTAAATGTAAGGAGTCACTTTTAAGTGTTCCCTAGAGCTCTAGTTTGAAATTTTAGAGACAGGGAATTCAAAGCCCTAAAAGACAGACCTTTCGTTTTTGGACAGTGCCAGTTCTGCCCTGTGGGTCAAAATAAAGCAAGGCTACTCTTTATCCAGCAAGGCAGACCTCCTGATAATCAGGGGCAACTAGATCCTATCTGTCTTGTGCCTCTTATGGTGAAGGGTTTCTAGATCCTCCATTCTCTGGCTGCTGTCCTCTAATTGTTCCCAGTTTGTCAGTGATCTTTCTGGTGTGTTGCATGCAGAATTAATGCAGTGCCCCAGATGTGACAGGGTAAAATGGGACTAGGGTTTCCACTAACAAGGAATAACTTGTACTTTAGTAACAGCATCTCAATGTGTTCATTTTTTTGTTGTTGTCTTGTTTGTTTATATATAATGTTATAAGATTAAGCTTATTTTGTACTGAATATAGGTGTTTGTCTCTTGAGTTTTACCTTATTGGTTTGATTTCAGCCTTCTGTCCATTCTATCTTACTAACAGCATTGTGAATTCTATTTTTCCCAATTTTGTGTCAGCCACAAAGCTACAAACCAGACAAGAAGCTTTCACTCAAGTCATGGGGAAAATAACATTTTCTTAAATTGCTGATAGTGGCCGGGAGTGAGGGGGAGGCAGGAATTGCTCTGTCTCAGTGGATTGAAGAGAATGAGGGTGTTGGGCATTTTTGAACCCAACTATCCATGTTTGATGTGGCCCATACTGGCATAATCTCTATCAGCCAAGAAAAGCCATTGATCAATAGCAAAATGAATGAATGAATGAATAAATTGTTAGGAAGGCACTTGGAGGAAGAAATACTCAGGCTAAAATTTACACAGAGCTAGGAATGACCAACATCAGATACTCTTTAAGAAATGTTTTATGGGAAGAAGGTGACTTGATTCCTTAACAGGGCAGGGGGGAAAAATCATACAAAACAAGATAACTGGAAACATTCAATAGAAACTTTAGTTATTTCACAATTCACTGGGCTCTACTAATACAAGCAAGACTTTTCTAGAAACCTTGGAAGCTTATTATTATTATTATTATTATTGTTTTATTTTTTATTTTTATTTTTTGAGACGGAGTCTCGCTCTATTGCCCAGGCTGGAGTGCGGTGGCATGATCTCAGCTCACTGCAAGCTCTGCCTCCAGGGTTCACGCCGTTCTCCTGCCTCAGCCTCCTCAGTAGCTGGGACTACAGGCGCTTGCCACCACACCCGGCTAATTTTTTTGTATTTTTATTAGAGACAGGGTTTCACCATGTTAGCCAGGATGGTCTCAATCTCCTGACCTCATGATCTGCCCGCCTCAGCCTCCCAAAGTGCTGGGATTACAGGCCTGGACCACCATGCCTGGCCAGGCTTTTTAAAAAATTTCATAATACATATAGACTTCAGGTCACATAATTTAGGTCTTCTGTATATGAAGATAACTATGTTGATATAAAATGCATAGATTTTCTCCTTAAGGAATTTGCTTTAGAATTAAAGAGAGGGAATGAATACATGTAAGTAGAACATAGGAATATTAAGCACAAGAAGAAGCTATGGGAGACAAAAAGAAAGAAAAATGGAAAGAAAACCAAAATATTATTGAGAATGTATTGTGTACTGAGTACTTTCAATACATGATCTCTTTTATTCTTCTGCAAGATTTTTCAGTGTAAATAACCCATTTTGTATAGAGGCAAAAACTGATGCTCAGTGACTTTAAATAATTTTCTCAAGGCACACAGGTAATAAGAAGCTGAATATGACTCACACCAAGTTTGCTTGTGTCCAAATCCTACACTCCCTTAATGCAACACATTGTCTCTTTGGTTTATAGTCTGTTTGCAGAGAATAGATATATATGTAAATTGAACAAAACAAATTATACCAGAGAAAATTGAATTGACAAATTGATGATTGATAATATTGATAATCTCAGAGATTGAAAATAGTTGTGGAGTTTGAAAGCAAAGAAAACCAAAGAAGTCTAGAGATGTCAGAGAAGGTACCTTTGCAGAAAAATTGACCATGTTTTCTTAAGCCTTGAAGGATGGGGATGGAATTTGACTGGGGGTCAGGGGCTAAGAAAGTATGGGCCATTTTAGGAAGAAAAGAATAGTAATTTCTTAAGAAAATGTGTTAAGACCTAATATGAAGCATGATATGGAATGTAAAGGATAAAGAAGTGTAATGGTGTAACCACTGGAAAGGGTCAAAGGAAATAAGAGAGAAAGATGCTTTTAGGTGAAAGACAATAAGTTGTTTTTTTAAATTGTTGAATCTAGGGTAACAGTGAATTGTACAAACTAAAGTATTAGTAAAATAAACAAAATAAAATTGATGAGAAAATAGGGCTTGGGGTAGAGACCTGAGAGCTACTTCAACATTGAGATACTAATTGAATTTAAGCATCTTATTGATAAAGATAGGAGCATAGGACAAGAGACAGAGTATTGCTGAAAATCCAGTTTCATAATTAAAGGATCTAGTGAAAGGTCATCAGAAACCTAGGAAGAGACTCAGAATGATGTGGAGACACAAAAGCCAAAGTAGGGGAGTGTGTCAGACATGACAGACTGAAGGAATGGCTTCAACTCTCCACCACTATCTACATCTACACTTTTACCTTGGCAATGGTTGTAGTGCTCCAACCTTGAACTTTGGGTTTATCCATGTGACTTGTTTTGGCCAATGTTGTGTGTAAAGAAGTGATTGTGCTAGCTCCATGCCTAGCCTTGTGAGGCTTTACATGTTTCCACTCAGTTTTTGTATCTCTACCATTTCCATGAGAAGAACATGCCCCAGCTTTCTTGTTGGTCATAAAAAGAGGATGTGCAGAAGAGCCTCCCTGGATGGCATTAACATAAAGCAAAGCTACCCCAGCAGCCATGAGCTGAAGCAAGAGCCACCACAGAAATTTGTCCTATATCAACCAATTCCCAAGCAACCTACAAAAAGAGTGAGCAGTAATACGTGGTTGCTGTTTCATGTCACTGAGTTTAAGGTTGGTGTGCTATACAGTTACACTAAGCCTCAGGATAGTCAACTTTGGCAAATATGTCAGAAATGATATATGGAAAAGACTATTAAGTTTGTAAACAGGATAGTCACTATAGAGCTTAGAGAATGAATGATGATGTTTTAGGAAAGTAGCAAGTGCAAAAACTAGATTTCAAGGAATTAAGCACAGCAGAAGTGTCCAAGAAATAAAGTCATAAAAAGAGATCACATAGTTGAGGAATCTTGAGGTTAAAATAAACAAGAACATTTATATGTTAGTGTCACATACTATTGGAAGTGTCCTAATGTAGAGGGAAGGAGTCTTTGTGCGGGGGTGAACGGCTTAGGGAGGCTAATGACAGTTTAGCGGAGAAGGGTTCTCAGAAATCAAATAGGAATAGAGTACAACACAGAGAATAAAATCAATGACTTCTGCAATCACCAAGGTGATATAATAAAGGAACTGAAGTCAGACAGTGTCAATAGGCCTCATTTCATGAAGGAGGTATCTTTTTCAGGAAAAGTATCCAACTCTGTTGATTGCCAATTACAAAGTGTAAAAGAGTACCATATGCTTGTCTCTGAAATTTCTGTTGTCCTTACATTGAATAGGACCCTGAAGAATCAAATTTGTAATCAAGACATGCATTCAAAAAGTCATAATACAGTTTTTGTGATGAGAGAAGGAAATTGACATGCTCTATAAAATTCAAGTCCGTTGCTTTGATTTTAGGATATTTCTAAGTAAGTAATCGTAATTTCAAATGGCAAAGTGAAAGATCAAGTTGGTCACTATGTGAAGAAAGACACATATTGTGCTGGTATGTTGGGAGGAAGTATGGCGCACAGATGTTGTTTCCTGTTGCCGGGCCACTCCAGGCTAACTAGAGTGCTGCAAACTTAATGTTTCTATTACCTGGAAGTTCAAGATATTTTCTTTTGTTGAACTGACTCACAATCTCCAGTCAAATATATGGGCAGTATCTGTCTGGAAGCCCTTTAACATGACATCGTAGGACTATGGAAAATGCCTATAAGCAATTTATAGATGAGGCTGGTTCTATTTTTGAGCACTGGTTTCCAATGATGTGCCTCAAATGTATTACAGTCGTCTGTGCAAAATGGAATGGGAGCTGCCTTCCTAAGATGTATTCTCAGCAGGGCTGCTGCTGACTCACCAGGAGAGAGAGTGAGCCCCACATCAACCATGCCATCATTGGCAAGTTCTTCTGCCTCATTTCCTCTCTAATAGCAAGTCAGGATAATATTTACTTTGTCTGCTCTGTTCCCAGTGGGGTGTTATGAAACCTGCCCCATGGTGCAACACCCCTTCCTGCCTACATACCTCAGGCTGTATCTAGATCATCGGTGAAAATTGGAGACTCAGATGTATGGTGCCACTGGCCCACTGGCTTCAGTCACACCTGTAAGCAACTGAAACCTGGGTTTATGTAGCCCCAGAGCATGGTCAGGTGGGAAGAGCATACTTGTTAGGGAATGGGAGAAAGTGTGGGAGGGTGAAGGAATCATCTCTTAGGAGTTCCAGTAAAGAAAACACAAATACATTCTGCAATTGAAAGAGATGAGAATTCAGCAATCTCGCATACTCCTAGACAGTCATTTCTAGAGGCACATTTGGAAGTATTACTTGGGGCAGGAGAGAGGAGTGCAGGATAGATCTTATGATGTTAGGTAGAATAACCCTAGGTCCCCCAGGATGAGATTTAAAATTTTTCCTTTGCAAATGTCAGATAGCTGAAGACTGTCATGAATAAACTATATAAATCATAAAATGAGAGTAGTTTCCTAATCAATGAATAAATAATCTGTGCTGGATATTGTCTGTTAAAAATCAGAACCACTCCATCCTTCTAAGCTCTGCTCTATAGTGCAGAGTTGAGAAGCTCAAAAACTGCAGTTCCCATACTCCTTTGGGAATCTAACTGTAGAGCCCGGTGAGATTTGGCCAATGAGAAGCACTTGTTTGAGATTTTGGGGATAGAAAATAAGAACTTTTTTCCCTAAGCTGTAGATCAGTGTGTAGATATCAGCAGATAGCGGGTGTGGCAGGGATTTTACCTGAGGCCTTCAGGCATTCTCCTGAGAGCCACCCAATTCTCCACACAGGAGTCAACTGAGACCACTGATGACAGCTTCCTAAAGCCTGTTCTTTCAGGTTTCCTGGAAGCAACCTTTCTTACCTTTGCTTCCCCAGCCTCTCAACGTAAATCTCCAATTGTGCTGGACTTTGATTTCCTTGATTAAACTTCTTCTTACTTTAAATACCTAGAGTAACTTCTGTTTTACTGACCAAGCTCTGACTGATAATCTATATGCTTCTGATTTTAAAATGTTTATAAATGATAGAATATGCTGGTTCTTGACCCAAACTAAGTACAAGCAAGCCACATACTCATCTGGGTTGAAAAAGCACAGTTCATGCTTGTGAATTCATGAGTACTATGCCTTCATTCATGCAGATAATATTTATTGAATGCCTCCTAGTGCCAGTGCTGTTTTAGCAGTAGAAGGAGTTTACATTCTAGTGAGAGAAGAAAGATCATAAACAAGTAAAAATATGATGCATCAGATGGTGATGGGTGCTATGGTTTAAAAGGGGAAGTAAAGGGGGCATGGTGCTGTGGGGAGGGGGTTCTTTAATATGTGGCAGTTGAGAAAGGCCTCATTGATAAGGTGATATTTGAGCAGAGATCTGCAAGAAATGAGATAGTCATGGAACTGTCTGGAAGAGGAGTTTTCTCTCAGTGTAAAGTCTTTGAGGCATGAACATGCATAGCCTAAGTGAGGAAACAATATTCCTAGAGCAGAGTGAGCAATAGGGAGAAGAGAAAAAGATTGGGTCAGAAAGGTGACAAGGTCTTATAGACCATGAGAAGGATTCTGGCTTTTACTCTAAGTGAGATGGGAAACTGCTTCACTGCATAGTTTCAAGTATGTATTGCTTTTATATGAAGAAGACAGCAAACTAAAAGACACCTTTATTTTAGAAAAATAGAGGTTGAGGAAACATAGATACTCCATTCTATCCTCAAAACTACACTGCACCATGGTACCCACTGGTCAACAACTCCTCAAACATAATCCTATCAGCTTCTTGGTTTTTATTTGAAAATCCCAGTTTTTTCCATCCTAACAATCTGGCTTTTAAAGTGATTATAAAGGAATTCCCCATCTAACCTTTTCCATAATTTTCTGCAAACTGCAAAATAAAGGCTGAGTTCCTTGGAGGGATACAAGATAATGTTGGATTTAAGGAGAGACAGGAGGCTGAAAAATAATAATAACTTAAAGCTAAGAGAGAAACACATGTAATTTAGCTGAGATGACTTCCCTGGGAAGAGTGCCCACTTGATATTACAGTGTCTAACTGGAGGGAGCTGTGGCACAAGTAGCACCATGAAAGTTTTTCATAGCTGCACTCCACATTCCACTGTGCTGAAGAAGACATCAAGAGGCACTCCTCCCTTGGAAGAGTTCCTTTCAGTTCTTAAGGGCTAATCACAAATACTGCACTAAGACTTGTCCAAGCTCAGGGACTCCAAGCAAACCTCCTGAAACAAGCAGCTGAAAGCCAAATGCGTATTGAAAGAAAATGATGGAGGCATCTGGGAAGGAAGAAGAGGGGAGGGGAGGAGAAGAAGAGAAGAAAAAGAAACAGAATGTTTCCTGTCCGAGGCAATACTCAGCATCTATTGTGAGGTGGTGAAGGGAATCCCTCAGCAAAACACTGGGAGACAAAGAGAGAAAAATAGCTCAGTTTAATTAACTGAGCTTAGCTAGTAACACAAAGAGGAATTCTAGTTTGGCTTTAGAAACATTTTTAACTCAAAGAATGGAAGAGGTTATTAGAGCTCCTATTTGCTGTTTGGTTCCATCAAGCCCTTTCCCTCATAAACTCCTCATCTAAAGCCTCATTTGGGAAAATAGCATATATCCAATAAAAAATAAAAACCATCCAGCTCTATGTAGACATGAGAATATTTTAAAATATCAATTGTACAGCCAGAATTCAGAGGGTTGTTAACATACAAATAACCATATTTTTAATAAAGGCACTCCTGTCTCTAATAGCTCACCACATCAAGACCCTCCTCCCAATCCCCAGCCTTTCTCCTCCCACCCTACACACACACACACAATGCACACCACACTTTTTCACTCCACTATCCATTTTGGGTGTCACATATTTACACATCCATATACACAAGGTTGTCTCTCTCTCATCTACTTCAGTACTGGATACATGTCAAATGGGGATGTTCAACCTCAGGGCCATTATTCTGCTTCAGTTATTCTGTTCCTGGCATGTATATTGGTCAAGTTCTCCAGAGAGACAGAACCAACAGGATGGAAAGCTATACAGATGAATGGATAGATGATAGATAGATAGATAGATAGATAGATAGATAGATGATAGATAATAATAATAATAGTAGTGATGAAGATAGATGATAGATAAATAGATAGATAGATAGATAATAGGTAGATACATAGACGATAGATAATGATGGTGGTGATGAAGATAGGTGATAGATAGGTGATAGATAGATAGATAGATAGACAGATAGATAGATAATAGATAGAAAGAGGGGATTTATCATGAGAATTGACTCACGATATTATATAGAGGCTGAGAAGTCCCTTGGTAGGCTGTCTGCAAGCTGGAGACCTTGGGATGCCAGTAATGTGGCTGAGAAGTCCAAAAGCCTCAAAACTGGGAAAGTTAAAGGCCTGAGAACTCAGGGGTACAAGTCCCAGAGTCCAAACACATGAGAACCTGTATTTTCCATGTCCAAGTGATGGCAGTAGCTGCTTCACATGGCCTGTTGCTGCCATCAGGCCAACTGCAGCAGAGAGATGCAGTGAGGCTGCATGTTCCTTGGAGCTGGCAGGAGCCAGGGACAAGTGGTAGCCCTGCCCCTTCCAAGTTGGGGTGGGAGCTCCCCAGGTGCCACTGCAACCACCCAAATCATGGCTACAGACCTGGGTCTCCCACTCCTCAGAGCCCAGGAAAGAGAGGCTGCAACTGCCCAAGTTGTGGCTGCAGAAATGAGCCTCCCTGTGCTCTTGGGGGGCCAGGAGCAGGCAGGGGCTGCCCCCACCACCCACAGCTGCAGCCACTCAAACCATGGCATCTCTGCACTCTTGGGGGGCCTTGGAAGGCCCCCCTGCCCTCATAGGCTTTGAAGCACCTGCCCCCACTGCCTGGCTTCCCCCTGCTGTCAGTGCCTGCTCCCATCTCCAGGTGAGGGGCACCATGAACAGCAGCAGGAGGTAGACAGATTCCTGGGTGGAAGGGGATGGGTCTCTGGTGAGACCCCACCTTCAGGCCTAGGAGGGCCTGAAGGCCAAGGGCCAGGCTGCCTGTCCCAGGGACCAGAGTGGGAACTGGTGGTGCATTTTCCAGGCCCACCCATGGCCACCAATGGACCAATCAGCATGTTCCTTCTCCCCTCTGAGGCCCATAAAAGCCCCAGGCTCAGCCAGAGAAGAGCAGATGATGGGCAGACCTGCTGCAGAGAGGAGCTACCCTCTCTGCTGATAGCAGGAGACATTAGGATGACCAGCAGCAGAGAGGAGCTACCACTCCAGGGCCTCCTCTCTGCTAGGAGCTGGGGAGATGATGAGATGGATGGGATGGCTTGCCTGCAGAGAGGAAAAAACCATCCCAGGACCTCCTCTCTGCTGAGAGCTTCAGAGACCACAGGACAACCTGCCTGCAGAGAGGAACTTCCCACTCCAGGGTCTCCTCTCTGCTAGGAGCTGAACACTCATAGGGACACCCTGGCTGCAAAAAGGAGCTGCCTCCTGCAGGTCTCCTGTGAGCTGTTCTATTGCTCAATAAAGCTCTTCTTCATCTTGCTCACCCTCCACTTATCTGCATACCTAGTCACAGAACAAGAGCTCTGGACCCGCTGAATGGTGGAGCTAAAAGAGCTATAATACAAACAAGGCTGAAACATGCCCCTTGCTCCCCACATTGCAGGTGAACAGACAAGAGCTATGGCCCCTCAGGGAGCCCAGATTTGGGAGCTCCCAGAGCCAGGACTGTGACTCCCTCTTTGGGATCCTGCAGTGCCTGGCATCTCTGAGATTCCAGGCTCCACTGCATTCCCCAGTGCCAGCCAAGGAAGCTGCTTGAAGTTCACCTGGTCCAGCTGCAGCCTTGCAGAGAGCTGGCACCCATACTGGCACCTGGAGCTGCCCATTCAGCTGCAGCAGCCAGTGTGTCTGACTGTGCAGTGACCAGACTCCATGTTCACTCAGCCACCCCTTGTGGCTCCATGCCTGACTTGCCCTTGGCAGGCATGGGATCCAGGTCGGTAGCATGAGCCAAGTGTATTTGTCAGACCTAGTGGGTGAAACAAGCCCAAGGGACCTGAGCAAAACTCAGGCAAAGGTGCCACTGGCCAGAGATTTCAGGCCAGAAAACTGTCACACCAAAGATCCTGTAACACATGGGCAGGAGAATGATGTGCTAGTTCTAGGAGACAGAGAATGTGAATTCACCTTTCCTCTGCTGTTTTATTCTGTCTTGTACCTAGCCAATTGCATGATGCTCACACACAATGAAGAAGAATGTTCCCCACTCAGTCCACCAACTCATATGCCAACCTTCTTTGGAAACACCCGCACAAATACACCCAGTTATCTAGGTATACCTTAACCCAGTGAAATTGACACCTAAAATTCACCAACGCAGCATGACTTGAGAAGCATAGAAAGTCTCCCTCCCCGGGAGAAGGAAATAAAGGGTATTCAATTAGGAAAAGAGGAAGTCAAATTGTCCCTGTTGCAGATGACATGGTTGTATATCTAGAAAACCCCATCATCTCAGCCCAAAATCTCATTAAGCTGATAAGCAACTTCAACAAAGTCTCAGGATACAAAACCAATGTGCAAAAATCACAAGCATTCTTATACACCAATAACAGACAAACAGAGAGCCAAATCATGAATGAACTCCCATTCACAATTGCTTCAAAAAGAATAAAATACCTAGGAATCCAACTTACAAGGGATGTGAAGGACCTCTTCAAGGAGAACTACAAACCACTGTTCAAGGAAATAAAAGAGGATACAAACAAATGGAAGAACATTCCATGCTCATGGGTAGGAAGAATCAATATCATGAAAATGGCCATACTGCCCAAGGTAATTTATAGATTCAATGCCATCCCCTTCAAGCTACGAATGAGTTTCTTCACACAATTGGAAAAAACTACTTTAAAGTTCATATGGAACCAAAAAAGAGCCTGCATTGCCAAGTCAATCCTAAGCCAAAAGAACAAAGCTGGAGGCATCCCACTACCTGACTTCAAACTATACTACAAGGCTACAGTAATCAAAACAGCATGGTACTGGTACCAAAATAGAGATATAGACCAATGGAACAGAACAGAGCCCTCAGAAATAATGCCACATGTCTACGACCATCTGATCTTTGACAAACCTGACAAAAACAAGCAATGGGGAAAGGATTCCCTATTTAATAAATGGTGCTGGGAAAACTGGCTAGCCATATGTAGAAAGCTGAAACTGGATCCCTTCCTTACACTTTATACAAAAATTAATTCAAGATGGATTAAAGATTTCAATGTTAGACCTAAAACCATAAAAACCCTAGAAGAAAACCTAGGCAATACCATTCAGGACATAGGCATAGGCAAGGACTTCATGTCTAAAACACCAAAAGCAATGGCAACAAAAGCCAAAATTGACAAATGTGATCTAATTAAACTAAAGAGCTTCTGCACAGCAAAAGAAACTACCATCAGAGTGAACAGGCAACCTACAGAATGGGAGAAAGTTTTTGCAATCTACTCATCTGACAAAGGACTAATATCCAGAATCTACAATGAACTCAAACAAATTTACAAGAAAAAAACAAACAACCCCATCGACAAGTTGGCGAAGGACATGAACAGACACTTCTCAAAAGAAGACATTTATGGGGTGGGGGGGAGGGGGGAGGGATAGCATTAGGAAATATACCTAATGCTAAATGATGAGTTAATGGGTGCAGCACACCAGCATGGCACATGTATACATATGTAACTAACCTGCACATTGTGCACATGTACCCTAAAACTTAAAGTATAATAATAATAAAATTAAATTAAAAAAAGAAAAAAAGAAGAAGACATTTATGCAGCCAAAAGACACATGAAAAAATGCTCATCATCACTGGCCATCAGAGAAATGCAAATCAAAACCTCAATGAGATACCATCTCACACCAGTTAGAATGGAGATCATTAAAAAGTCAGGGAACAACAGGTGCTGGAGAGGATGTGGAGAAAGAGGAACACTTTTACACTGTTGGTGGGACTGTAAACTAGTTCAGCCATTGTGGAAGTCAGTGTGGCGATTCCTCAGGGATCTAGAACTAGAAATACGATTTGACTCAGCCATCCCATTACTGGGTATATACCGAAAGGATTATAAATCATGCTGCTATAAAGACACATGCACACGTATATTTATTGAGGCACTATTCACAACAGCAAAGACTTGGAACCAACCTAAATATCCAACAACGATAGACTGGATTAAGAAAATGTGGCACATATACACCATGAAATACTATGCAGCCATAAGAAATGATGAGTTCATGTCCTTTGTAGGGACATGGATGAAGCTGGAAACCATCATTCTCAGCAAACTATCACAAGGACAAAAAACCAAACACTGCATGTTCTCACTCATAGGTGGGAATTGAACAATGAGAACACATGGACACAGGAAGAGGAACATCATACACTGGGGCCTGTTGTGGGGTGGGGGGACGGGGGAGGGATAGCATTGCATTAGGAGATATACCTAATGTAAATGACGAGTTAATGGGTGCAGCACACCAACATGGCACATGTATACATATGTAACAAACCTGCACGTTGTGCACATGTACCCTAAAACTTAAAAGTATAATAATAAAAAAAAAGAAAGCCTCCCTGCCCAAAACAACATATCTCAATTTTAGCTAGCCACATTTCAAGTACTGAATAGCCACCTGTGACTAGTGGCTTCAGTCTTGCTCTGTCTCACAAGATTGTTGTGTATAATATGATAACTTACACGAACACATCCTATAAGCTCTGAAATGCTGCTGTATGTATGGTACTCACAAATTCAATGATCATTTCATTCTGACAGGTGCTATATCAATGATCATGGGCCCTATTTCCCCATTCTACTTTCTTTATGATGGTGAGCCAAGAACAGGACACACACAATGCCAATGCATTTGTAGTTGATACTACATTTGTGGTCTCATGGAAAGAGCACAGGATGCAGAATTAGTATGCACAGAGGTGAGTTCTTGACCACATCCTCACTATACAACTTTGGGCAAGTTTTGTTTCACTTTTCAGCCTGTTTCCTTATCTGTAAAAAGGAAAACAATACCTCTTCTATGTATACCACAAAACTGCTGTGGAGATAAATGAATATAATATCGAGCAAGCAAATGATTACATATTATAAAATGCTGGGTATTGTCATTCTTGTATTCATTAAACCTAGGATACCCTCACATAATTATTGCTTAAGTACCAAGAACATAGATAATTATAGAAACCTCAAAATTTTATTTTTTAAATTTTTAAAAATATTTTAACTTTTATTTTAGGTTCAGGGGTACATGTGCATGTTTTTTATATATGCAAATTCATGACTCAGGGGTTTAGTATACAGATTATTTTGTCACTAAGTATAGTACCTAATAGTTTTTTTTTCCCTGAACCTCTCCCTCCACCCTCAAGTTGGCTCTAGTGTCATTGTTCCCCTCTTTCTGTCTATGTGTTCTCATTGTTTAGCTCCCACTTATAAATAAGAACATGGGTATTTTGTTTTCTGTTCCTGTGTTAGTTTGCTAAGGATAATGGCCTCTAGTTCCATCCATGTTCCTGAAAAAGACATGATCTCATTCTTTTTTGTGGCTGCATAATATTCCATGGTGTATATATACCACATTTTCTTTATCCAGTCTACCATTGATGGGCATTTAGGTTGATTCATGTCTTTGTTACTGTGAATAGTGCTGCAATAAACATACATGTGTATGTGTCTTTGTGGCAGAATGATTTATATTCCTTTAGAAATATACCACAAAAAACAAACAGCCTCATTAAAAAGTGGGCAAAGGCCATGAACATACACTTTTCAAAAGAAGACATACATGTGGCCAACAAGCATATAAAAAAATGCTCCATATCGCTAATCATTAGAGAAATGCACATTAAAACCACAAATGAGATACCATCTCACACCAGTCACAGTGGCTATTATTCAAAAAGCCAAAAACTAACAGATGCTGGCAAGATTGTGGAGAAAAGGGAATGTTCATACACTGCTGGTGGGAGTGTAAATTAGTTCAACCATTTTGGAAAGCAGTGTGGTGATTCCTCAAAATTTTAAATATGTTTCCTATTCATTATCTTCTCTAACCCAGAACCACTTTCAAGGTTTGGTGTGTTGGGCTGTGCTCTCAGATGTGATACCCACAAATGTCCTCTTTGATGAAAAATGCATTGCTTTTGCAGGGAGTATGGGGACAGAGACCCAAGCAAATTCAGGTTAGAATGATGTTAAGAACATGGGATTGAGACAGAAATAACCAGTTGTGGATGTTTGTCCTGTTACTTGCTCTCCGAGTTATTTTCCTTTTTGAACCCCAGTTCCCCATCTGTGAATAAAGCTACTGCCTGGGATTGTTATGAGGCTTACAGGAGAAAATCTAGTAAACACCTAGCATTGTACTTGGCCCATAGTGCACCCTCTTTAATCTGTAACTGTTTCTATCATCATCTTGGCATACCAGATGCCTGACACATCATGTTGGGAGAGTGAGAAAGCTTTTGGTTCCAGAGTGGCCTGGCCATTTACCTAATTTGTTTTTTTTGTGTGTGCAGAGGTTGTTGGCAGATTTGTTTAGTGGGGACAGTCTCTCAGTTGGCACTCAGCTTTATAACTTCTAGCCATTTAGTCACATCCTGCTGGATGCTGGACACTCATTATTTCTGAAGAGCTAGAGAAGCAGCTCACAAGACTGATGGCTCCTTCCAGTCTGGCACATTCTATGGGGTCTCTCTCACAGCATTTGGCTTCTCAGGGAGAAACTTTCTCTTTGATAAGCTTGGGCAGATTGAGCCCTGCCTCACACATTGTCACATCTGCTATACACTGTGTGAGGTTATTTTAGCAATGATCATGATTCTGGGTGGATAGTTGTATGAAGTGCTTTAATCTCGTCAGATCTCAAATGACTTTCCATAGCTCACCTATTGTGAGGGGCCTCTTCTAGGAATGATATTGTTCCAGAGGCAGACAGTGCGAGCACTGGAAGGAATGGCACAGGGCCAGAGCAATGACGTCTAGCAGATGTTCTTCATTATGACCAACTGTGCCTTCAGTGATAGAAGGTTGATCGATCTACCATCCCAGTTTGCCTGGCACTCAGGGGGTTGCTTGGGATGCAGGACTCTCATCAGAATATTAAGAAGCCCATCCTCGGGGGCAGTAGGGTAGAGAAGCGCTTTCCAAACTTTAATGTGCATAAGAATCACCCGACGACCTTGATAAAATGCAGATTCTGATGCAGAAGGTCTGAGATGAGCCCTAAGATTATTCATGTCTAACAAGCTCCCAAAGTGAGCCACGCTTTGGACAGTGCTGGTTTAGTGGACCTACATGAGGCTTTGGAAAAACCTGGGTTGGCATCCTAGCTGCAGCTCTTCCCAGATATTATTCTCACTTTCCTTATTTGCTCCATCCTCCTGCCCATGAGGATCCCATCACTTCTCACCAGGGCTCACTTCCAACATTGGGGATTATAATTTGATGAGATTTGGGTAGGGACACAGATTCAGACTATATCAGAAAGCCAAGAGTTTGGCCAAGCAAACATTTGCTAAGATTAGTATAGATAGAAGAAAGGCAGATGCTGTAATTCATCAGGACAATGGAAAAAAAGACCCAGAAGGCATTTCTGAGAACTTTGTGGCTGCCACACCTATCACAGGCCCACTGATCCAGGGTCTTGAGGACAGAATGGTTTCAAGGAGGAGCCCACATTGCTCCTGGGGCCTTGAGGCTCACTGCCCAGGGTCACCTGAAGTTTCTTCTCCACACGTTCGGGAGGAGTTCCTTGGCCACCCCAACTATGGCTCATGTAGGCCAGGTTTAGCTCAGGCTGATCCTTTAGAAGGCTCAAGCACTAAACCTTAGTGACATCTACACAATGCCAGTTCTGCAGCTGTGTAGACTGAAAGAGCTGGGCAGGCATGGCCACCTCCACCTAGATTTCAAATTGATATCTCAGGGAGCCTAAGGGCATAGGCAGAGAACTGCCACAGGAGCAGGGCTGCCACATAGAGCCCCCAGTAGAGAAATTCTTAATGGAGCCATGGGGGCAGGGCTGCTCTCAAGATCCCAGACCTGTAGGCACAGCAGTGTGTAACTCCAGCCTGGGAGAGCCACAGGCACCAGACTCCAAAACCTGAGAACTGTGGCATAAGCTGTGTCCAGAAAAGCTGGCTGTCTAGGGTCTTGGGGGCCCAAATCTCACACCAGGGTGTCTAGAAGACAAGATATGGAGTCAAAGAAGATTATTCTCAAGCCTTGAGTTTGCCCTTTTGGGTTTTGAATTTGGTCAGGATCCATCAATCCTTTCTTCTTTCCTATTTCCCCTTCCTGAAATGGAAATGTCTCTCCTAAGCCTGTCCAACTATTGTATTTTAGAAGCATGTAACTTGTTTGATTTCACAGACTCACAGTTGAAGAGAAATTTGCCACAGGATGAATTATACCTTGAGTTTCACACATATCTGATTCGGATAAAATGGAATTGAGACTTTGGACTTGAGCTTTAAAGTTGATGCTGGAATAAGTTAACACTTTTGGGACTATTGAGATGGAGTGAACGTATTTTGTAAGAGGGAAGGACGTGAACTATGGGAGGCCAAGAATGGAATGCTATGGTTTAAATGTTGTGTCCCCTTCAAAATCTATTTGGAAACTTAATCACTTAATCCCCAATGCCACAGTATTAAGAAGTGGGACCTTTAGGAGATGATTAGGCCTTGAGGGCTTTGTCCTCATAAATGGAATTAGTGCTTTATAACTGGGTTGGAGGGAACTAGCTAGGACTTTTTTCCCTCCACCCTTCCACTATTTGAGGACACAGCATTCATCTCCTATGGAGGACATAGCAGCAAGGCACCCTGAAAACCAAAAATAAAATTCGAATCTCCCCAACTTATTGAATGCATCTCTCTCTTGGCCAAGGGGATCCCCCAAGAAACCTGAAAAGCTAGTTCAATCCATGACTGGAAGCGGGGATTGGATATGCCTCATTATTTCCTTCTCCTTTTGGAGTTTAGGCACAACTGACTAGCATTAACTTTAAAACAGAGATCTTGGCAGGGTGCGGTGGCTCATGCCTGTAATACCAGCACTTTGGGAGGCCAAGGTGGGCGGATCAAGAGGTCAGGAGATCCAGACCATCCTGGCGAAACCCCGTCTCTACTAAAAATACAAAAACAGCCAGGCATGGTGGTGGGCGCCTGTAGTCCCAGCTACTCAGGAGACTGAGGCAGGAGAATAGTGTGAACCTGGGAGGCGGAGCTTGTAGTGAGCCAAGATGGCACATGCACTCCAGCTTCGGCGACTGAGCGAGACTCCGTCTCAAAAAAAAAAAAACAGAGATCTTAAGACTAACAAAGCAGGCTCTTCGTACCATAAATATACGAAATTCCAACTTGACTTTGGTATAGCATCACATGACAGATAGTAGGCCCTGAAGTAAATCAAAGTATTTTACCCTAAAATATATTTCTTTGACATATTTTGAAATGGCCCTGCAAAGCTGTCTCTTGTGGGAGAAATTTGCATCCTGTAGAGAATCGCCTCCTCTTACTAGATCTTTTCCAGAGAGTCTGGCACCTTTTAAAGTCCAATAAGTGACATTTACTGTCTATTCTCTCTGAAGCCTGCTACCTCAAGGTTTCATATACATGACAACAACCTTGGTTTCTACAACTTCCTCTTATCTTAACTCAAGCATTTCTTTATGCTGACTTCAAACACTTTAGGCAAAGTTTGACACTTTCAACTGGCAGCAAATTGGGAAATCTTTGAATCCACCTATGACCTGGAAGGCCTCACTTTGAGATGTCCCATCTTTCCTGGCTGAACAAATGTATACCACACATATATTGATTTATATCTTGGCCTGTACCTTCTGTGCCCCTAAATGTATGAAACCAACCAATCGCCTTGGGCACATCTTCTCAAGACCTCCTGAGGTTGTGTCACAAGTCATGGTTCTTAACATTGCCAAAATAAACCTCTAAATTGACTGATAACTGTCTCAGATACTTTTGGGTTTACAACCCTCTTGGAAGCAGGCAGCAAGTCCTTAACAGACACCAAATCTGCCAGCACCTTAGGATCTTTGGGTTTTCAGTCAAAATAATTTCATAGCTATCTCTCATAACTGTGAGAAATAAATTTCTGTTACTTACAAATGACCTAGTCTAAGATATTTTATTATAAAAGCACAAACAATGAAGTCACCCACCAACACCTACTCACATCCATACAAACTTTCTGTTCCTCTTCCCTGCTTTATTGTCTCTCCCAAGCACTTATTAACATCTAAAATATTTTATTTATTTATTTTCTTTTTGTTTGCCTTTCTCTTCTGGAGAAAAAATTCTGGGATGTCAGGCATTTTGTCTATTTGTTCACTGTTCTAGCCCCAATACCTACTAGAGGTTCTGACACATAGTAGGCCCTCAATAAATATTAATAAATAGATAAATATTGTAAATTTTTTGATATATTAAAACCTTCTATATAACAAGATAATCAAAGTTAGCCAGATTGAGAAACATATTAACCACAAAAATAAAATGTATTCTGACTTCTATTCCCTTTATAATTTTTTTCTGTAGTATTTATGACTTGAGTTTGAATGCTTAAAAATGCCTAGGTAGATGTCTATAAATTTTCACATGTGTACCTGGGCACAAATGCACACAAATGCACAGAAAGCTTAATACAGACTACAAAAAATATGCACTATAAATGCTTCTTTTGTGGGAAAGTGAATTCTTCATGAGCCCTGAAATGCAGCATGGCGCCAATTGCCTTAGCAGAAAGCAGGAGAAACTTGTCTTGAAAAGAAAGGTAGTCCTGATTTCTGTATAAAGCAGAAAGATAGAGAAGAAAGAGTATTTGTGTCTAAAAGGCTTCTTGACTGTTTCATGATGGCCTTAATTTAGTGTTAATGGTTTAATTTCCAGGTTACACCTCCTCCCTCCTTAAATAGCACTTAGTGTAATTGATGCCAAGTTAATCCCTGTGCTGCCAAGAGAAGTGTCCATGGGGTAGGAACCGCATGCTGTTTTACCTGTGCTTAAAGAGGAAAGTGTCACGCGTCTCTGAAGAAACAATGTTGACTGAAAAATAGCGCCAAGTCTCAAACAAGATCTTTGTGAAAAATAAAGCATGAAGCACAAAATGAGAGAGTAAGTCTTATTATCTAAGAATTAAAATGATGATTAAGGTGATTATCTTTTTCTTCTTTATTTTTAAATAGTTTGCAAAATTATAACAATAGGTATGCATTATTTTATAATTATTGACAACATGGTGTTTTGTAAAACAAAGTGTATTATATGAAGAATATTCTCAATTTTATTTGGAGCTATAAAAAACTATAAGACTATGCAGAAGCACAATAAAATGCTAACAGTGAGTATCTCTGAATAGTGGGATTATTGCTAAATTTTATCCCACTCTCCTTTGCTTTTTATTATTGTCTAAATTTCGTGCAGTGAGTATATGCTACCTTTGTAATTTAAAAATAAAGTTGGTTAATTTTCTAAAAATTGTTACCACCCTCTATTTACAATAACAAAGCATTTTGTTTGTCTGCCTTGGGTTTATTTTAAATAAGTTTCATCTTCTTTTCTTGTGTCATACTAATAAGAGGAGAAAAGGTTTAATTAAGGGGAAATAAAGGAGTATTTCCCTTAAAGTGTATCACCTTTTAGAAGAAATCTTTCCATCCCACCTTTTCCTGTGATTCTCCATCACAGGTTGAGAAAGTGCAATCATGAAGCTTTGCACCCCAGGCTTACATTCTTTTGAATCTAGGGCTAGAGCATACTTCGAGATCAACCAGCACCATCTTCTTTCACAGTGGAAGAAACAGAGTTCCTGAGAGAGAACGGGATTTGTTCATGGTCACACAGTGTTATGGACATTATAACAAAGCCAGGTCTAGAACCCTGGCAAGAACATGTGTCTCTCTTTTCTATGTGTTTATTCTGCCTATTCTTTGCATTCAAAAATAGAATATGAAAAGAATTCCAAGCACAGTGCCTTGTATATAGAATACTCAGTAAGTGAATAATGAATGAATAGGTAAATTAACTAAAAAACAGTTGAACATCAATAATCACTACTTTATATAGTGAAAAAGAGGCTCTGGAAATAAACATCAATTCCTTTTTCTTATCTTAATAAGAAAAAAGAAAACACAGAAAAAGAGCTACCTTAAAAGTAGAAAGTCTGCCACTGTCTGTGGCACATGTTGGTAGTGGGTGCCCAGGATTACCCTCAGCGAGGCAGCCCAAATACCTCTAATGACAGAAATGCATGGAAAGACCCACATATATCCTTCCCCGAGTTTAAGTGGCCCAAAGAACTTGGAGGATATATGAAAGTGTCTATATTTTCCTGGAAGGTAAAGAGAAAACTTGATTTGGTAGTCACAAGGGAGTTCCTGTAAGAAATTGATTGAAGCACCTCTAAAACCCAATGGGATGTTGCTTCACTCAGTGGAAACCAAAGTGGCTAACACATGACAAACTTCAGGTAGGAAAGGGAGGTTTAAATGCACCCTGGAGGCCTTAAAAGGAACAGAAAACATTTAGTCTTAAAAGCAGGGATGGTTTTAGAACCAAAGACAACATTTTCAGAATTTAGTAAGACTTACTAATAACAATGCACAGGCTTCTCAAATAATGGCTCCACATAAAATGCAGGGCTTGCTTTTCTTCTATCATATTCAAACCAATTAAATTTTCCTCAGTTGCTTAGCTTACTCTGTAAGGCATACTCATTTCATACAATTTTTCATACAACTTGGTAAGCCACATCATTCACAAAACATGGCAGCTGTCAGAGTTGACAGAAAATTCCCTACCATCCTCATTTCAAGATGCTCCAATACCATGCTTCATATTTGTCCATCCAGAGATACCTTTTCTGAAGATTTTAAATTGTCTTTTTTTCTTTTATAGAGGAAAGGTCTTGCTCTATTGCCCAGGCTGGAATATAGTTACATGATTACAGCTTTCTGCAGCCTCAGACTCCTGGGCTTAAGTGATCCTCCTGCCTGCGCATCTGGAGTAGCTAGGCCTACAGGTGTGTATCATGATGCCTGGCTATATTTTTAAATTTTTTTGTAGAGAAGGGGGTCTTGCTCTGTTGCCCAGGCTGGTCTCAAACTCTTGGCCTAGAGTGATCCTCCTGCCTCAGTCTCTCAGGGCGCTGGGATCACAGGCCCTTTTTTCATTTCTACAAATTATGGTTGTGTCAGTCCATTTGTGTTACTTGAAAGAAATACCTGAGACTGTGTAATTTATAAAGAAAAGAGGTTTATTTTGGTTCAGTTTTGAAGGCTGTACAATATGGTGTCAACATCTGCTCAGATTCTGGTGAGGCTTCAGGAAGCTTACAATTATGGCAGAAGGTGAAGGGACAGCAGGTATATCACATGGCAAGAAAGTAAGAGAGAAGGGGGAAGTAATCAGATCTCACGTGAACTCACAGAGTGAGGACTCACTTATTACCACAGGGAGGGCACAAAGCCATTCATGAAGGATCTGCCCCCATGACCCAAATACTTCCCACCAGGCCTCACCTCCAATATTGGGAATCAGTTTCAACATGACATTTGGAGGAGGCAAATATTCAAACCATATTATTTGCCCCTGGCCCCCAAAATCTCATGTCCTTACTTTGCAAAATACAAATTGTGCCTTCTCAATAGTCCCTAAAGTCTTAACTCATTTCAACATCAAGTCCAAAGTCTCATCTGAGACTCAAGACATGTTCCTCCCACCTATGAGCCTGTAAGATCAAAAACAAGTTATTTACTTCTGAGATACAATGGTGGCACAGCCATTGGGTAAACATTCCCATTTCAAAAGGGAAACATCAGTCAAAAGAAAGGAGCAACACACCCCATGCAAGTGTGAAACTCAGCAGGGCAGACATTAAACCTTAAAGCTCCAAAGTAATCCTTGACTCGACGCCCTGCACCCAGGGCACGCTGAGGTATGGGGTGAACCCCTGAGGCCTTGGACAGCTCGACCCCTGTGGCTTTCCAGGGTATAGCCCCAAGGCTGCTCTCATGGGTTGGAGTTGAGTGCCTGCAGCTTTTCCAAGCTCAGGGTGCAAGCCGCTGGTAGTTCTACTGTCCTGGGGCCTGGAGGGCAGCAATGCCATTTCCACAGCTCCAGTAGGCAGTGCACCAGTGGCAGCTCTGTGTGGGGGCTCCAACTCCACATTTCTTCCAAGCATTGCCATAGGAGAGGCTCTCTGTGGGGGCCCTGCCACTGTGGCAGGCTTCCGCATGGGAATCCAGGCTTTTGAATACATCCTCTGAAATCTAAGTGAAAGCTGCCAAGTCTCCTTCACTCTTGCATTCCATGTGTCCACAGACATCATAATACTGTGTGGAAGCTGCCAAGGCTTATAGCTTGTGCCCTCCAAAGCAGCAGGTGGATCTGTACCTGGGGCCATTTTAGCTGAGGCTGGAGCTGGAGCGGCCTGGATGTGGAGAGCAGTATCCCGAGGCTACACAGAGCAGCAGGGCCCTGGACCTGGCCCATGAAGCCATTCTTTTCTCCTAAGTCTCTGGGCCTGTTATGGGAGCGGCTGCCACAAAGACTTGAAATGCCTTCAAGGTCTTTTTCCCATTGTCTTGGCTATTAGCATTTGGCTCCCTTGCAGTCATGCTGATCTCTCTAGCAAGTGGTTCTCCACAGCCCACTTGAATTCCTCCTCTGAAAATGCTCCTTCCTTCTCCACCAAAGGACTGGGCTGCAAATTTTCCAAACTTTTATGCTCTGCTTCCCTTTTAAATATAACTTTGAACTTAAAGTCATTTCTTTGCTCCTGTATCTGATCTAAGCTTTAAAAGTAGCTGTGGCACATTAAGTTCAACCTTCCACAAAGCTCCAGGACATGGAAACAATGCAGCCAAGCCCTTTCCTAGGGCATAACATGGGTGACCTGTGCTCCAGTTCCCAGTAACTTCCTCATTTCTATATAAGACCTCATCTTAAAGGTCTTCACTTCAGTAGACCTCACTGTTCATATTTCTATCAACCTTTTGGTCAAAATACTTAAAAACTCTCTAAGAAGTTCCAAACTCTCCCTCATCTTCCTGTCTTCCTCTGAACCCTCCAAACTCTTTCAACCTCTGCACCTTGCCCAGTTCCAAAGTTGCTTTCACATTTTCAGGTATCTTTATAGCAATGCCCAACTTCTTGGTACCAATTTTCTGTGTCAGTCTATTTGTGTTACTATAAAGGAAAACATAAGACTTGATTATTTATAAAGAAAAGACGTTTATTTTGGCTCATGGTTCTTCAGGCTGTACAATCATGGCACCAACATTTGTTCATCTTCTGGTGAGGCCTCAGAAGCTTACAATCATAACAGAAGGTGAAGGAGGAGCAGGCGTATCACATGGTGAGACAATAAGAGAGAGAGAGATGTGTCAGGCTCCTTTTCAAACAAGATCTCACATGACCTCACAGAGCAAGAACTCACTCATTACTGTGGGGAGAGCAGCAAGCCATTCGTGAAGGATCTGCCCCCATAACCCAAACACCTTCCGCTAGGCTCCATCTCCAACATTGAAAATCACATTTCAACATAAGATTTGGAGGTGACAAATATTCAAACCACATTAATGACCCACATGAGAAGTTTTGTTACATATACATAATGCATAGTGATCAAGTCAGGTTATTTAGGGTGTCCGTCTCCTGAGTACAATACATTTTTGTTAAGTATAGTCACTCTGCTCTTCTATAAATCATTGAATTTATTTATTCTATCTTACTGTATGTTTGTACCCTTTAAGCCACTTCTTTTCATTCACACTTTCCTCCCACTCACTCTTCCCAGTCTCTGTTATCTATCATTCTACTCTCTATCTACATGTAATCAAATATTTTAGCTCCCACATATAAATGAGAAAAAATAACATTTGTCTTTTTCTGTGCCTGGATTATTTCAGTTAAGATAATAACCCCCAGTTCCATACATGTTGCTGCAAATGAGATGATTTCTTTTTTATGGGTACATAGTATTCCATTGTGTGTATATGTGTGTGTGTGTGTGTGTGTGCATCACATTTTCTTTATACATTCACCCATTGATGAACACTAAAGTTGATTCCATATTTTTGCTATTGTGAATAGTACTGCCGTAAACCAGTGAGTGCAGGTATGCATTTGATATATTGAGTTCTTTTACTTTGGGTGGATACCCAGTAGTGGGATTGCTGGATAGTATAGTAGTTCTATTTTTGTTTTTTTTGAGAACTCTTCATACTGTTTTCTATAGTGCTTGTACTAGTTTACATTCTCATCAACAGTGTATAAGAGTTCCTTTTTCTCTACATTGTCACCAACAAGTATTATTTTTTGTCTTTTCAATAATAGCCATTCTGACTGGAGACTGGGGTAAGGTGATATCTCATTGTGGTTTTGATTTGCACTTTTCTGATGATTAGTGATGGTGAGCATTTTTTCTAATACTTGTTGGCCACTTGTATGTCCTCTTTTGAGAAATGTCTGCTCATGTCCTTTGCCCACATTTTACTGGGATTTTTTTTTCCTGTTGAGTCATTTGAGTTCTTTGTGGTTTTGGTCCATTTGCATCACTATAAAGGAAAACAGTGTGATGCTGAAGACATTTAGATCTCAGAAAGGGTGTGGGCCACAGCACAAGCTCCTTCCTTGGAGCAGTTCCATCTCATCCCAGAGTATCCCAGAATTGGGACTGCAAATCTGTTCTGTTTCCCAGAAGCTCCCTATGTTAGTAACAGGGGTAGGGAGAGTCAAGTGATTCTCTTGTGGCCCAGATCACATAACATCATAATGGGGATGTGAGCTGCTGGAAGTTTCTCATTCACCCTTTCTGCATGTTGGAAAGCCACCCCCAGCTCCCAGCCAATACTGGCCAAGCAGGCTACCTCTCTTCCTTCCCGTTTCCCACTTTTGATGTTTCTTGTCACTTTTGTGTTAAATTCCAGTATTCTCTTGGATCATGTATTCAAAGTGTGACTGTCCATATACTATTTTGGTTCTTCCAAATGGAGGAAGTGGGCATGAAATACTTCTAGTCAGCCATCTTGAAGCCCCTCCCACAAATTACCTTTTTAGGATAATATTTTAACCTCAACCTTTGAACCAGGTGAACCAGAATGTGAACAAGATAATCAGGCTTGCTTTCTTTCTCTCTCTTTCTTTCGCTTTTCTTTTCTTTTCTTTTCTTTTCTTTTCCTTTCTTTTGAACTTTTACTCTCCCAATTCTGAGATTTCGGTCTTGGATTTTCTTTATGGGATGAGAAAACAAGAGGTCACTAAAGAATATTGTAGCATCACTGTCTTGCGTATTATCAGGTGGGTACAATGGGCAACAATATGCATCTAGTTCTCATAAAGCTTCAATTTACTTAGATGCCTCTGTTATTGAAAAATAGGCTCCTTTCCTCAAAATGGCCTCCACTTCTTTACATTTGTTAAAACCATTAACTAGATTTGTTTGTTTAAAAGATGTTTTCCAGACTTAGTTGTCCAGGCTGGAAGAAAATCTATCACGAGCTTTCACCTTTTTTAAAAAAGCCTTACACACAGAAATTGCTTAATACGCATCCATTAGATACATAACCCATAGAAGGCAGAATAACTACCTGACAAAGGTGTCCAGATCCTAATCCCTAGAACCTGTGAAAATGTAACCTTACATGGCAAAAGGGACTTTGAAAATGAGATAGTTTAGGATATTGCAGGAGGGATATTATCCTGTATTTTGTGGAGGAATTCAATGTAATTTCAAGGGTTCTTAGAAGCGAAAAATGGATCAAGAAGGTCAGAGTAAGAGAAGGTTTGAAGATGGTACCCTCCTAGCTTTGAAGATGAAGGAAGGGCCATGAGCCAAGGTGTGCAGTTTTTAGAAGCTGGAAGAACAAGGAAATAAATTTTCTCTTCAAGCCCCCAGAACAAATGCAGCTCGGCTGATGCCTTAATTTTGGCCCAGTAAGACCCATTTCAGACTTCTGCAGAGCTGTAAGATTCTAAATTTGTGTTGTTTTAAGCCACTACATTTTTGGTAATTTGTAACAGCAGCCATTGGAAACTACTACATAATCCAATTGAAAAGAAATATTTGAGAATCACTTTTCAATATTCCTCACTCTTTTCTTTAAAGAGATGATTAAAAGATGGGAAAAGCAATCCCAGAGATTTCTGATATGGACTCTTCCACTAGACTCTTCCAACAAAACCATGCCCCTATGACCCACAAGAATGAGCACAAAGAACCATGCCCACCTTCACTTTGGCCAATGTGCATTTCACCAAACTATACGCAATCACAGCAATCAATTCTAAATTATAGAGTATTTTGCTCTGAAAATCAGCTCTCTGGCCTCCTGTTTAACTCCAGATTATAACAAATTCAAATACCTCTGTAGCACATGAAACAAAGACATTGCCTAATGTGTAATTTGGGAGGGAATTTAATGATACATCTGTCTGTTTTGACAAAGCACAGCCTTGAAGTATCTATTTAAAATAAAATCAGCAGATTGGCAACAATTAAAAATGAAAGCCTATAAAAAGTTTAGGGAAAAAAGCATTAAAGTCTGATAGCTCTTGGTTTATGTGCCAGCACTATAGTAAATATTTCCAGCACCAAATTTCTCTACTGAAATCTTGGCATTAGCTACTGCAAAAAATACCACCATTAAACACACACACAAAATCCATCTTTTATAAAAAATAGGCAGTGGGTCCATCTGGGGTCCAGTAAGACTGAGAATCCTTAATATTTCAAGATATTTTATTGGATGTTGCTAAGCATTATCTTTCAAATCAGTAAGGTAGTAGAAACACGCTATTACTTTGTATAAAGTTCCTTGAAGCCTTTCTGATACTACACTAATGTTATTTTACCTGAGCAATTTACTAAGAAACTTTGGAAGTTTGTGAGTTTAGGATATTTTAAATGATCTTGGAAATATGCTGTATAGCCATAAAATATATCTATATCTTTTCTCAAAAGCTTTAGAATAATTACACCTTGAAACAATATGCAATGACAAGAGACAGATACTGCAAAATGAACTTTTAAATAAAGTTGGTCATAAAATCGCAGAAATTGTCAGTGACTGAATGATACCTGTGAGAACTCTGGGGGCAAAAGTTACTGCCTATGCAGCAGCCCCAGCCCCAACACCTACTCTGCCGGCCTCTGAGACATGAATTATACCCCAATGGCAGACCTCTGTTCCCTCCTGACATTAATTCTTCTCTGCTCTCTGTCTCTGATCATACTTTGTGTCTCATTAGGTCTTCTGCTTCCTTTTCTCAAATTAACTTACTAAATTAATTTACTAAAATTAACTTACTAAAATATATCTTATCTGGTGTCCACCTAGTGACGTAAATTCTCTTGGCTGGGCACGGCGGCTCATGCCTGTAATCCCACAGCACTTTAGGAGGCCGAGGCGGGTGGATCACGAGCTCAGGAGATGGAGACCATCCTGGCCATTATGGTGAAACCCCGTCTCTACTAAAATTACAAAAACTGGCTGGGCGTGGTGGCGTTCACTTGTAATCCCAGCTACTTGGGAGGCTGAGGCAGGAGAATCACTTGAACCTGGGAGGCAGAGATTGCAGTGAACGGATATTGCACCACTGCACTCCAGCCTGGCAACAGAGTGAGACTCTGTCTCAAAAAAAGAAAAAAAAAAAATTATCTTGCACAAGTTCCTTATGCTATGGTGAAGGCTTACACTCAGTGACTCTCCCAAGAATTACAAATGGGGAATTCCTAAGAGTTCTGTAGTTTTATGGAGCTAATGAACTGTGTAAGTGGCTAGAGATGATTTGTGGCATGGCATGGGACTGCAAATGTGGACATTTATTATCTCTATTATCATACCTACTTCCTAAGAATATAATTGTCCAGGCCTCTCCAAGAAGAAAGTAGAAGTAGAAGAGAAACTGATAAAGGAAATCATGTGTATTCATTTTTTCAGACAATATTTATTGTATACCTACTATGTTCCATGGCTTGTGCTGAGTATTGGAAATACAATGGAGGATAAGATGAACACAGTTGTGGCCCTTGTTTTCATGGTTAAAATAAACGCTAGCGATCCAGCCATTATATATACATTCCAAGGTGTAGGGAGGGATAAAAAAAGTGCATGTCTCTTCCCTTTAAGGGACGAGTTGTCTACACTTTCACTTAAATTCCATTGACCAAAATGGAATTTTCTTAGCTTTGTTGCAGGACAGTGTGAATATTATCACATATTTTAGTTGTTGGTCTATGTCCAGCTCAAAATTGGTAATTTTGTTTCTATGAAAGAAGAAACAGATTCTGGAAGTTCACTAGCATACTCTGACACTCCATCTTTATTTCTTTTGTATTCAATAGCATGTAACCCAACTATAAGCACATAAAATATTTTGTTTGTATAATAATCAAATGTGACAA
Source organism: Homo sapiens (assembly GCF_000001405.40). Classification (NCBI taxonomy): domain Eukaryota; kingdom Metazoa; phylum Chordata; class Mammalia; order Primates; family Hominidae; genus Homo; species Homo sapiens. The sequence goes on along the minus strand of NC_000003.12, from coordinate 111,223,563 downwards.
TGAAATATATTTTGTAATCTATAAAGTGTCACATAAGTGTAGAGTATTATTACTGAAGATAAAAATCTATTAGCTGTTAATTCAGAAAATTGGTACTTTCAACACCCATTGTCTGAAAGGTGTATAGTAGGGAAGGACAAAGATCAATTACATTATATATTGACCTTTTCTCTGCTAAATTAGCAATTATTTCAATTTCAGATGTATTTGGTTGCTAATTTGTGTTATTTTTATTAACAGATTGTTTTAAAAATATTTAGTGCTTTCGTGTTTTCATGCAGAACATCTGTTCTCAGGAATTTCTGTCTAGAATGTACCACATACATTTCTTATTTGTTAAAATGATTCAGATATAAATTCATTCATTCACTCATTCAACATATGTCTACTGAACGCCTATTTTGTGGCAGGTACTGTTTTAGATCCCAGATGATAGAGCATTCAATATTTTAAAAATGCAGTGATGGTTAATTTTAGGTGCCAATTTGAATGGATTAAGAAATACCTAGAGAAGTGGTAAAGCATTAATTCTAGGTGTTTCCTGGACGGTATTTCCAGGGTAGACTGGCATGTGAGTCAGTAGACTGAGTGAAGAAGATCTGCCTTCAGTGTGGGCAGGCAACATCCAACTGGCTGGGGACCAGGATGAAACAAAGGCAGAGGAAAGGATTTCCTCTCGTTCCTTGAGCTGAGACACACTCTTCTGCTCCTGCCCTTGGACATCAAGACCCACAGCTCTTCAGCCTTGGGACTCCAGGACTTAACATCAGCAGTCCCAACTCCACCTAAGAAGGTTTTCAGGCCTTCAGCCTCAGACTGAGAGTTACACCATTGATTTCCCTGGTTCTGAAGCTTTTGGACCTGGACTGAGCCACTTTACCAGCATCCCAAGGTCTCCAGTTTGCAGTTTGCAGAAGGCCTGTGGTGGGACTTCTCAGTCTCTGTAATTGCATGAGCCAATTCCCCTAATAAATGCCTTCTTTTATATATATCTATCTATATCTATATCTATATCTATATCTATATCTATATCTATATCTATATCTATATCTATGTCTATATATCTTACTGGTTCTGTCTTTCTAAAGAACCCTGACTAATACACATGCTTTTATATTTTAGTGGGGGAAGAGGGGGAAAAATTAGAAAAGATAATCTTTCTTTTTCTTGCTTTTCAATTTGTGTGGGTGATACAACAACAAAGACACAAACAAGATCACTTAATGCCTCTTCTATAATGACAAAACAAGGATAACAATGGTAAAATTAAAGGCAATACCCAGAAACAGGCAAATTTGGAGGATTGAATGAACCAGTTGAACAAGTGACTACTTTATGGTAAGAACAGGAAAAACAATAGAACAAGAGAAAAAAGTTGATAAATGTTAATTAAAGAAATAAGCCCCCCCACCCCCCCAGCATCCCATTTCCAACAAATGGTAATAGTGCAGAATGTTTTGCTCATGTGGGCATGACTGGGGATGAGAACAGCTGGAAGAGCAATAGCTTGCTTTTATTGTCCTTTGATGTCCTACCCAATTAAAAAGCCCATGGGCTAAGTGAGCAGAGGCAGTGCCACCCAATACAAAAAAGAGATGGCATCACCAAGTTGGATATGAATGGGAATTTATTTTTCCATCTAGTCATTGTGCTACTAGGGCTAGAGATAAATAAAATAGACATAGTCTCTGTTCTCACGTAGTTTCTAGTCTAGAAAGATTATATACATTAAATAAGAACAAGTGTGTATATATATATACACACGTGTATGTATATACACACTGTGTATATATATATACACGTGTATGTATATATACTTGTTCTTATATATAATGTATATTCAGAGAATTATATAGTTATAGGTATATATAATATATATTCATAAATTATATGAATTATGTAAATTTATGAATTATATATGAATAATATATATTCATAAATTATATACAGTTCTCCGAAAGAAAAGACGGTGATAAGGAATTATAACATGTGGTTCTGACTTTAATTGGGGATGGAGAGTGGTCAGTGGAAACTTTTCTAAGAAAGAGATATCTGAGCACAGACACGGATGAATAGATATTAATGGGAGAAGACTGGGCCACTTCTGGGAAAGCAATAAACATTAGAAGTTACTGCTGAAAAAAATAGATTTTTGAGACCAATGTCACTCAAAAACTCACAGTGTGTCCATATTACAGATGATTCATTTGAATTATATATTGTAGAGCATTTTCCAATAGTTCAGTTTAATATGTCCCTAGCACTGGTGTGCTGGAGCCAGCTCGTACAGACTCACGAGAACCTATTCTAAGTGTTTTTTCCAAAACCTGCATTCAGTGGCATCAAAATGGTAACATGAAATTGGCCATAGCAGGAGTATTTACATTATGGAAATAATTGTAAAATTGGCAAATGCTATAAATCAGGGCTTTTTTCCCCCCTCCAGAAAGCTAGTTGTAAGACATTTATTCCAGGATGGCCAAGTGAGAATATCTGGAGAAAGGCAATAAAAAGCAGTAATTAAATTAAATAATTCTAATTAATAAGTTGTTACAATATTTTTATATTTCCATAGTGGTTTAACATCTTTATAGAGAAAGCATCAAGGTGATTTTGGGAAGAAAATAGAATAATCAGACATTCAATTTGCTTATCTATTGTAAACTGATTAATAAAAATGATTCTAGAGTATACCAAGTCTGATAATATCACTTCTAAAGAGAAAGTTGGTAATTTTTTGAAAATGACAGTGTGTTTTATTGATTCACGTTGCCTTTTATCTATTCAACTCTAATCATTCAAAAACCATTTTCTAATTACTAATTATTGTGCCAGGTTCTGTGAGGAAAATACCAAAGAAAAATAATCCTAGGATGCACAGAGTTTTCAATTTAGTTGGAATGAGACTTTAAAATAAAAAATAATGTTTAAATATTAAAAGGCCACAAATGTGAATGAATGGCTCAAATATTATGAAATATAAGATAGAACTGAAGACAGATAAAAGTAATGAGGGAAGGATAAACTCCCTGAGAACTTAAATTAAGCTGGTTTATCAAAGATGTGTGGAATTTCATTTTATTATTATAAAAACAATATAACATATTGCTGGTAGAAATGTAAAATGGTGTAGCTATTCTGGAAAAGAGTATGGAAGCTTCTTACAAAACTAAATATGTGCTTACCATAAAACCTAGCAATTGTATCTTTGGGCATTTGTTACTGAGAAATGAAAATTGATGTTTACCCAAATATCTGTACACAATTGTTTATAGCAGCTTTATCCATAATAGTCCAAAGCTAGAAATGAGCCATAGTTTGTTTAATCATTTACTCTTCAATGGAGTGAATGATTAAACAAACTGTAATAGATCTATACCAAGGAATACAAGTTGGTTAGATCTCAAGGGAATTATGCTGAGTTTAAAAGCCAATCTCAAAAGATTACATATTATATGATTCCATTTATATAGAATTCAAAAAATGGCAAAACTATAGAGATGGAGAACAGATTAGTGGTTGTCAGGGGTTAGAGACTGGGGAGAAGGAGGAAGTGGCTGCAGCTCTAGAAGGGTAGCCTGAGGAATCCTTCTGAGGAATTGTATTTGACTGTGGTAGTGATCACAGGAATCTATACATGTGATAAAACTGTATCAAACTAAATACATAAACACACAAGTGAATACAGGTAAAACTAGTGAAATCTGAATTAGGTCCATGAATTGTATCAATGTCAATTTTTTGTTTGTGATATTGTACTACAGTTTTTCAAGATGTTACCACTGGGGGAAAGGGGATAAAGGGTATATCTTCTGTATTGTTTCCTCCAACTGCTTGTGAATCTATAGTTATTTCAAAATAAAATGTTTATTAGAATGCCGTAACATAATCGTAAATAGAAAAGAGAAAATGGTTTCCATAATGCTATTCCATCACAGTATTATAAAGAATATGGCCATTCCTTTTATTCATATGGATAGTAGTCAGATAAACACAAAGAATGGGAGGGGGATTATTAGAATATCCAAATAATAATGTGTGATTCTAATAAGACAAAAAATTTCAGTCTTATTATTTACAAATATAGACTATGAGGAGAAAATAGTACAGAACTGCATTACTGACTCTGCTTTATTTCTTATTTGTCCTATCCTACCTTTGATCAGTATGCCATACTACCTGCATCATCCTTGGCTCTCCTGAGGGATACAATTTCAAGATTCATAGCTAGAACATCTGATTACCATTTAGAGCAGAATGCTATACAAACTGTTAGCTTTCTTCCCTGCCTCCTCTTAATTTTTAAAGATTTAGTGACAATCAATACCCCTATAGTGAGTGAATCCCAAAGTCTTGGCCTGCTGTTGTGTTGGAATGTAACATTTCAGGCTCAAAATGGCAGTGAACCATATTTTTTGTAAGATAACGTACAAACCTATGCATTAATCTGTCTGTTTAGTTGTAAATCAGAATCATGGGGATTGGATTTTTATATGCAATACTCCCCTCCATTCTCTCCCAGCCATGCATTCAAAACATGCATGTTTTATGTTTTTCTTATAAATGAATATAGAAAATTATATAAAACTTACTGATAAAAACCAAGCCATAAATTTGACATTTGAATGCTTTCTCCTGTGTAGCCCCAGGTAACATCCAAAAGTCACAATTTAATTTTAGACCCAGAGTGAAAGGTTTATGACTATGTTATTCAAACAAACACATGTTGCTGTGAAATACCACCCTGGCCAGGCCATCTGTTTATCTGGGCAATTTCATTTAGTACACAGATCTGACAGATAAATCAGCTGCTTTTTGGACTACCAGGAGACTATAGAGAAGCCCAAAGTCTATAATTCAGCTTTGGCTCATCATTGGCCAAGTAAGAAGTTGTAACCAGAATCAGTGGCAAGTGGCTGATTTGAAACAGCAGGCACTATTTCTCGTTCTATTTCTGAAATCTCTATAGAAGATCCTTCAAGTTCAAGTTGACATAATAGTCATATGTGTGTCATATGTGTGACCCAACCAGGTATTATGTTGAGAATATTAATTATATTGTTTGTCCCTTCAGTTATTCTTTATGTGACTGTTTTCAAAGCAAATATGTGTACGGTCTTAGGTTAAAAGAAAGTAGTTAGGGTTAACTGACTATTATTTTGTTGTTTAATGAAGATCTCACAGGTAAATTTAATAAATATATCTAAAAACTAAAAATATGGAAAGCAAAATAAATTCAGATATTATTCATTTGCATTTCTTAGGGTAGAATAGTGAAAGGAATGCACTTTTGAGCTCAGATAGACACATATTCAAATATCCACTCTCTTTCTTAAATAGCCGCGTAGCCTTGGGCAAGTTACTTTACCTCTCTGAACATCACCTCTCTGAATCTGTTTCCTCACTTGTAAAACAGCAGTAACGAAAACTACCCCTCAAAGTTTCATGAGAAGTGACTCAAATGAGTGTTCAATGAATGCTCACTGAAGTATTTTCATTGAGATTTACTTGAGTAACAAAAGTTTTTGGATTGTTGTAAGAATTGGCCCAATTAACTTGCACACCATAGGTGCTCAATAAATGCCTGAGATGATCGAGATTTTTTTGGGTAACAGAGTGGAACCATTGAACAGGAACTACCTTCAATGCATGGTGTGTATGTATACTGGTTAAGAGTGCAGATCCTGAAGCAAGACTGCTAAGCTGTAAATACCAGCTCTGCAACCTCTTATTTATAGGCTTGGACAAGTTATTTCATCTCTCTATTCATCAGTGCCCTCATCTGTAAAGTCTGGATAATAATATCCTACTTACCTCATAAGAATTAAGTGACTTAATATAAACACAAATGTAAAGCGCTCAGGACAAACTAGGTTTGTAGCAAACACTGGGTAAGTATTGATTCTCAGTATTATTATTACTGTATATTGTTTAAAATGTATATTTCATAGCTTATATCTATCACTAGTCAACTATTTTCAAAGACCTTATTTTGTTTCATTTCCTATCTATCATTTAATAAAACTACTTTTTTTTCTACTGATTTATATTTTTAAATGCTTGGGTAATTCTAGCTCTCTCCCTTCCTTTCCTGCTTCATCAAGTCTTCCTGGGTGATTACATTTCAAACGAGAGAATCAATGACCTTTATGAATCTCTCAGGAAGTAGAGCAGGCTCTAAGATTCTATTGAATGTCTGATTTTTTTTTTCCTGGTAAGCCTTAAGGCTTGACATTCTCTAGGGTTCCTTCCCACATTAAAATTCTGTGGGGGAATTCCTTTCCACTCTTGGAGATGATTAGGGAGAAGGAAACAAGTTTATCTAAATCTCCATGGGAAATCAATGATTAAAATGGAACTAAGACATTGTTTCTCCCTCCTCTTCTTTAATGGTGACTCTATTAATATACTTCAAGGCCATTCTGTCACAATGGATTTAAAAAAGAAAACCTTTTATTTGGCTTTCCATTTTATAAAACAGAATATTCAATGGTTTTAAATAAGAACTTCTAGAACCTAGCATCACAGCAACTTTCTCCTTTGCAGTGAAAAAGGTGCCACTGCTATTCTCCAGCAGCAGGACAAGCATTTTGAGTGAAGTTTACCTTGGGGGGTGGATTTGCACTTTTCCTGAACACTCTTACATTCTGTCTCTCTATGTTCTGTCTCTCTATGTTCTGTCTCTTTTTGGTTGCCTCAGGCTAGGAACATGGGCTTTCTCCATAGCCAGGGCACAAGGCACAGCTGCCAGCCTACACCATCATCAAGCCCTGAGTTGGTTGCGACAGTTCTGTGCTTTATCGACCGGCTCAAAAACAGTATAAGTCAAAGGGAGTGGGGCGACAGCTCATCTCATTACATTTGGCTGAGAGCATCTTCATCTTCTAAAGTAAGGGGACCAAGATAAGAAACTATCTTTAAAAGAACATCCTGAGACGTTTCTCCTTCTTCCCTAAGAAAAATTCCTGAGTTCTCATTGTCTTTGAGATCCTGCGTCACATCACATCCATGAGATATTTGAATCTTCCTGGAATTCAAGAAAGAACAGTTCATACTTCGAAGATCAAGATCTTAGAGATAAAGGAGACCTTATAAAGAAGAGGGGGTACTTACCCACCCAGTGTGGTTCAAAAGCCTCTGGGAAGCCCCCTGAAGTTTCTCCCTCTCTGCCTACTCCATAGTTAGAATTGATTATTTAGATACTTGCTTCAAGTAATTTGTAATTTGAGATAAACTGTCTTTAGTTGACCTTTGAAAAAAAATGAAACTACCACTGATAAATAGGAGAGGATAGATGTAATTTTTAAAAATGGTCTTCAAATATATAGAGTGTTTTAAAAGCTTAGAAGTGAAAACACGAAAGCTCCTTTAGGAGTAGGGTTAGAGATGGCTGAAAGCCGCCAGCCTGCTAGTCCATAGGTGGTAAAGTAATTATGCACAAAGTTATCCAGGAGCAAGGGCATCAGAGGGAAGACTGCTGCCAAATTTAGGTTGGAGTAATTCAGCCTGAGTTGAGAGGGAATCCCGGGCAAGACTTCATGGATTCTCCAGGGCTTTCTCAGGACAGTCAGCCATAAGTACAGTGCTATAAGAAACAGAAGTGCTGGGACAGCTTGATTTCATGCATTTTTTTTAACTCAAAAGAAGCATTTTACTAAATATAACTAAATATGATCTAATTTGTATATTTTAAAGACTTTTCCAAGACAAATTGAGGAAAAGTATCCTTATTCCACATGTCCTGGTTTGAGGTTAGGAAAATATAGCCTTTATAGTAAAGAATGCATAATTCAGAGCTGAGCAACTCAGTGCCAAGGGAAAAGGACTGATGTTGGGCTACAAGCTGAGGCGAGTGTGGGAGTCCTAGGGGTAGAGGATGCCTCACCCAACTAGAATGTGGGAGAGAGGCAAGGAGCTCAAAGCTTGCCTGCAAGGCCTTCCAACTGGAGCAAGTCAGCTCCAACAGGGAGGAAGGGAGGATCCTGGAGCAGTGTTTTACACTATAGTTGCAGTGTGGCTCAACACACCAGACCACATGTGGGCCCAACTCTGAAGGCATCTGAGGTTTGCCTCCTTTCTTACTTGAGGACCTGACTCCTCCATCCAACTATCCATTCTCTTACTCTTCACACAAAAGACTCCAGGGCAGTTTTTCTAGGATTTTACTTAAAAAAGTTTGTTTCAGGGAAAATGAAATAACTTTAAAACAGTCAGAAGACACCTTTTGTTCTTGAAGTTCAAAATTACTTTCCGTCTTCCTGGGTATGTCTTGAGTCCATTTGCACTTCCTTTAGTGAGAAGCTCCACAGTTTATGCCATTTTCATATCCAGAGAGGGAGGACCTGATATAGTGAGCCTACTCTGTACACTTTTCTCTGGAACTCTAGCAAGAATCATGAGGACATGATGGTCAAAGTTAGCTGTTCAGTTTAAATTCCAGCACTCTTATTGCATGGGTGTGTTAGTCTGTTCTCACACTACTATAAAGACATACCTGAGACTGGGTAATTTACAAAGGAAAGAGGTTTAATTGACTCACATTTCTGCATGGCTAAGGAGGCCTCAGGAAACTTACAATCATGGCAGAAGGGGAAGCGAACACATCCTTCTTCACATGATGGCACGAAGGAGAAGTGCTGAGCAAAAGGGGGAAAAGCCCCTTATAAAACCATCAGATCTCATGAGAACTCACTATCACAAGAACAGCAGCATGGGGGTTACCACCCCTATGATTCAATTACTCCCACTGGATCCCTCTTATGACATGTGGGGATTATGGGATCTATAATTCAAGATGAGATTTGTGTGGGGACACAGCCAAACCATATCAATGGGTTCATCTCAACAAAGGCAATTTTATACCACTATGATTGTCATACTGAATCCCTTGAGAGTTTCCCTTTAACATGAAAAAATAAGAGTTACATACATAAGCTAAGAAGTTGAAAGGCTGTAATAACCTCAAGCAGTGTAATAAGAAAACTCACTGGAAGATGGACATTACTATTTTACTTGACTATTTCTCCTATCAACCACTGGAGGATCCATGACTCAACAGCTCCAGCAGCTAAAAATGCTTACATTGAATTCAAAGTCTAACTATCTATGTGTTTTTTAATTCTATTTTTGAGGTTATAAATGTAATACATGTTTATTACAGAAAATCTGAGAAAACATAGAAACATTAAAATAAAAATCTATTCTAACCCCATAAAGGAGTGCTGTTAATGTTTTAATGTAGTGACCTCAGCCTTATTTATAGAATATACACATACACAAACACATGAACACACTGTACCACTGTGACATAACCAACATCACAGAATATAGCATTTTGAATTTTACTGTTTTCACTTAATATTATCAACATTTCCCATGCTTTAAAATATTATTGGAAAACATTTCAATGGCTGCATAATGTTCCACAGTATAAATGTATCATTATATATTAACTTTTCCCTATTAATGAGTTTTTGTATTGTTTCTCGATATTTGCTATTTTAAATAATAATTTAATAAACATCTTGATACTTGAATCTTTGACTGTTTTGCTATATCCTTAGGGTAGGTTGCTAAGTGGGAAATTATTGGGTCAGAGAGTATGGGCTTTTCAGAAAAATGTGTTAGTTTATATTCCTAGAAGCAGTGTATGAGAGTTTATATTATCCCATTTTCAATACTGAATATTATAATTTAAAAATTCTTTATTACTACAAGGAGTGAAAAATGGACAATTCATTATTGTTTAAAGCTTTTTAGTTTTAAAGAGGTTTCCTTTTCATAGAGGAAAGAGTATAATTGAGTGTATAGCATATTTTCTTCAAACCATGTATAGTAGGCCTACCCATAGGGCTTCCCTTAAATATCATAAATGGAACCATTTGGTAGTAACTATGATACTCTCAGTGCAAAGCACACCCTCAGAGTTTCAAGAGAAACTTACCAGACTCTGAGAGTGTGCTTTGCAGAATCAACACATCAGAACGTCAGCTGCAAAAAAAAAGAAGATGGGGCAGTTCTTAAGCCCAGGGCATCACCATGGAAAGGCCAGACTGTAGTCAGAACTCCCGCTCTAGCAGGAGGACTTTGGACACTGAGAAAGAAGATGCTGGAAGATAGAAAATAGTCTTAGAAGATGTGGAAGGAATTGAAACAAACACTGTTTAGTAGCTCCTTTTGCTGAAGATGTTCCTATTGAGAAGAAAGCTTACGAAGTTTGCTGAAGTAGGCAGAAATCATCAAACACTCATATAGCAGTGGGTATCAGAGTGAGATGCTTGCTGGTAATGAAACAGGTCAGACCTACTATCTGGCGAGCCAGCCTCCTGTCAAGCAGCAGATGGTAGAAAGATGTCCATCGAGGAAGGCACAGCATGCCATCTGGAGGATAAGGTGGCAGCTCTTACCCAAGCAGAGAGCACTTAGCAGGGAGGAGTATCTTGAGTGATCCCTGATGGGTGTATATGACCCTAATAGGGCATGGAGAGCTAAATACACTGTCTGCCCAAATGTGAGTCTAGGTCAGGGTGTTTCAACATGCAAAAGCAGACCCTGAGCCCTTGTCTGTGGCTCACGAGAAGGACCAGCAAGGGTAAGGGGGACACTGGATAACCTGAAGATCTAGACAAGTTATCAGGTCAGGCCCTTGGGTCCAGGACATCCAAACAGTAGGCCAGTTACTAGTGTTCATGTCAAGCTACAGGCTGGCAGAAAATATCCTCAATATGTATGACATTGATTCAACACGTTCTACTGCCAAGGCCTGAGATTGGGCCCAGAGCCTGCAAATGGGTGGGGGATGAGAGGTCTCAGCTACGGTATCTGAGAAGACTGAGATGGCAAGACTTAGGACTGAGAAGACTGAATTGGCAGGGAGCCAGGAATGTCTTCAGAGAAAACAAGGATGCTGCTATCAAGGACACCCCAGAAGAAACTCAAAATATTGCATTTCATTGTCACCATTCGAGCTCCTGAAGAACTGCAAACTTCAAACGATAAAATAAATTTATGGGTGAGGAAAAAACAGGTATATTAGAAGAGGTCCAGGAGGGATTGAACAAAAACTGCAAATGTTTACTAGACGAAGAGGAATGAAATGACCAGCCAAAATGAAGTGTGCATTAATACCAGCAAGGGGGGATCAAAAGCAGGAGATGGATGGGTAGGGACACATTTTTTTTTAAAGCCTGCTAGTAAATCAAGAGCATGAGATTCATGATGACTTTAAAATGGCTAAGGTATTGAACTGATTTCCTTAATCTGTCTTTAATAAGGAAATGGAACCAAACAGCCATTTCAATTAGGTGGTAATGTAGAGTTTGCAAAAATGTCCACAGCTGGTAAGGAAACCTGGAGCCTGTATAAATATGCAGCTCAGCAGATGTTGATGAGATTCATCCTTGAAAATGATGCCTGCAAATAACCCACACAAAGCAGAAAAGGGGCAGCCAGAGTGGGAGAGAGCAGGAAGAATGGGGAAGGAATGAGAAAGGCAGCCAGCTATTTGGCACCTAGAGGAGTGCCACACAGGGTGCTGGAGGAGATAGGTATTATGTATGTGAAATCTATAGGATATCTTCACTACAGTCCTAGAAGGCAGGCATTAAAGTGTGTTACAATCCCAGGAAATACTCATTTGGAGAAGTAGTTCAGAACACAGGTAAGGAATTGTAGGTGGCAGTTAGCATCACCATGTTTTTCCATGTGTCTTTAATATATTCAATAGGTTGCCAGGTCACTATGACAAAGCTTAGTTTTGAACACTCTATGTTAGATTTTGTGCTTTCTAGCAAACACTTGCCAAACACATATTACATGTCTCATCTTTGTGGAGTGGATAAAGAATGCAAAAGTACATATCCAGTCCCAGCCTTTGTGAGCTTATGAACTTATGGAAGCACTAAATAATAAATCAGCAAATAGTGCAAAATGATGTAAGCCAAGCCAAACTGTGAGCATGTGAGGTGCAGGTTCACAGAGCCAAGCCAAAGAACGAAGGTGCTCACACTGGCTTTCAACATTAGAGAAGACACAGAGCAGGTGGCACTTGAAATAGGCTTTCAGGATGGAAAGATCTAGGCAAAAAAGAGAGGGCGGGCTTTTCTTGCAGAGGTTAGATTAGCAGGTAGTATGTGTGGGGGAGGGAGGAATAAAACAAATGGACTGGAATAGAGAGCTCATGCTGGGAAGTGGAAGGGGACCAAGTAGAAAGGAAGACTGCCAAGCTGCAAAAGGAGTACTAGAAAAAACAACAGAACATGATTTGGTCAGCAAGGAGTTATTTGGTGTTCTGGAGTAGGAAAGCAACATGAGAAAAGTGGATTTTTAGGAAGACTGAATCAGCCCTTGGGAGGCAGAAAGGATTAGAGCATGGATTGTTAGGAGGGTATGCCTTCAAAGTAAACTCTTCCCTTTTCCTGCTGCCATTGTGATCTAAATTACCACAGTCTCAGCTAAATGCTTGAACTGGTCTCTTAACTGGACTCCCTGCCGCTGTCACTTCCACCTTTGGTCAATTTCAACAGGGCAGCCAGAGTGATCCTGTTAAAGTATAAGTAGATTACATCATTCCTCTGTTAAGAACCCTCCAATAGCTCCTCTCGCACTCAAGGAGAAGCCCAAGTCCATACAATGCCCCTCAAAGGAGTACCTAATCCAGCTCCCACCTCCCATTCCTTCCCAGACCTCATCTGCTATTTGTCCCCTCAGTCCTTGCCATTCTTCAAATATGGTGGGCATAGCCCTGCTGCAGGACTTTTGCACTTGCTGCTCTGCTTAGATAATTCATAATTCTTCCCTCGAATGCAGGACTCCTACCCCTCTATCAGGTCTTCATTTAAAGATCAACTCATCAGTGAGGCCTGTCCTGACCTCCCACCCCCATTCCCAATCTAAAACTGTTTCCCCTTCCCTTGTTTTTTGCACTTATTACTCTCTGGCACCCTCCCATGAGTTTAAAAACTCCATAATCCATGGAATGACATATGCATGTGGTTACTCATATATATATATATATATATATATATATTTCATTAAACTGTTTACTGTCTCTTCCCTCCACTGCCCCCCTGAGGCAGAGATTGTTGTTTGTTTTGTTCGTTGCCATATTCTCAGTACCTAGACAGGAACTTTGCAGGCATTCAATCACATTTATTGAATTGATGGAGGAATGAATGCAGGAAAATCACAGTAAGGTGAGAATGGTTGCAGATATAAAGTGGATGAGAGCTGAAGAATGGAGGCAAGGGAGGTAACTACAGAGAGACTGCATAAAGATGCCAGAGCCTTTGAATGACTGTAGGAAGAATTAAGAAAATGCATGTCTCTTCAGCAGAAGCACTACCATTGCTCAACATGTCTGATGGGCTGATAAGGCCAGAGTTTTATGAAGGGGAATCATCTCTGAAGCATGATAAACATCTGAATGAGACCCATTAAGTGACTTGCTATATGAATAAATCTCAACTTTTTCTTTTCAGGATATTCCTAATGAGGTTTTGAAACACATACTTTCCCCCATTCTATCTTTAATTCTGCTTGATATCACTGCACAAGCACTCATTTTAATACTAGTTAGAATTCTAAAATCAATACTAGTATGTTTTCACTTTGAGAGCTCATTTTTAAGGTAGCATTTTGAGGCTTTTTATTACAAGTATTATAATTCATTGTTTTACAATTAGAAATGTCAAGGAACCTCACATATGTGGAACTTGAAAATAAAACAAATACATATATGAGATGAGTAATATGAAGGAAAGGAAAATGAATGTGAGAGTGAAAAATATTGAGAATAAAACTAAGAATGGATGGGGCCAATTATTTTTCCTAAAGTGCTGTTATAAACAAACATTTGTGGGACTGGAATTGAGGTTAGATCGATGCAAGACAAAGCAAATGGGATGGGGGCAGGGGAAAGTGTGCTCTGAGATGGAAGGAGAGGACCTAGGGGGAGGCTCTGCATCAAATGCTTAACATCCTATTGGCATCTTCTGTCAATATATGGTCCATATGGCCTAAAGACAGACTGGGAAGCTTAGAGGGCCTGACAAATTAAGAGAAGGGGTAGGGATGGAGGTACCAGCATGACGGCATCCTTTACGTATGTGAAGCAGGGTTTTAATCAGTCCATACACTTAGGTGTGCAGGAAATATCATATCTCTTTATTTTCTCCCACTAAACTTCTTCTAAATCCATGCCCCCATACAAGAAAGTGAGCTGGAAATCCAAAGCTATTCTTGCAGCAATGTTCTTATGCTTACCTTTTCTATTTCAGGATTGTGCCAGAGTCCTGGGATCCCACACAGCATGGTGGTGGGGTGTCAATTGGAAATTACTGCTCAGACAGCTGGGTGTCAGCCCATGTGTCTCTTTAGGCCGACCACTGTGTAGTTTCCTGGCCGGGGACTAGAACACAGGACAGCCCAGCCTTCTATATTTACTCAGTAACCTCTCCCTCTGAGGCTCTGCTACATACACAGGGAAATAGGGAAATATGAGACAACATGCTTGTCTATATTTCTTGTGAGACCTTTTATTTAGTTCCAGAGAAATTGTTTTCTCTTCAAACTCTATTTTCAGGACAATGGCTTTAAGATCGGGGGAAATTAAGAAAGGAATGGGACAAATATCTCCTAAGAGGAAACATAAAAGGGGGAACAGGTAGGGAGAAAACATAAGTTAATAAATTAAATGTCATTTTGCCGTTTATAGAACCTCCCTATCCTGTAAATAAATTAATAGTAGCCCAACAGAATGAAAGTAGCTCCAACCTCCTTGAATTCCTCTCCTGGTGTGGTAGACATGGAAATGCGCTGGCCACATCCCCCTTCAAGGGAAGACTTGTTGCTCCTCCTCTCAGCCCTTCCTGTGGTAGCTCACATCCAGACTGAGGGAGGCAGAGGTATCAAAGTCTGGCTATTTCAGCCCAATATGGAACAACTCAGATGGGCCACACCTGCTCCAGAACTCATTGCTGGGGTGGATCAGGGCTTCATGGACCTGTACCAGTTCTTCTGTCTCTCTGCCTAATCTTGCCTCCTGACCCTCCCTTCCACAATTGTTTATCCGTAGAAAAATATCCTTTGTGCCACACTCCATTTCCACATCTGCTACTTGAGAACTCAACCTAAAAACATTTAAGAGTGGCCCTAGAAAATAACTAAAATGATGGGATTTTGGAGCCAAATCCCTACCCACCTAACAGGCAATGAGGACCTAATCGGTGATAGATAAAATACAGCCATCCCTTGGCACTAATTGACAGTCCAGTGGGTGGTCAAATGGAATAGTATGTCCACAGAAGAGAATGCACTAGCAGGTGAGATTTATCAGGTGTACGAGAAGTGAGGGGGAAATAGTAACTCTAAGGACAATGGGATTACATGAGTATTGCTGAGGGCCATTGATATCCTCGATAATAAAAAGATGCAGGCAATAGGCAACTGAGAGCTAAATATGTAAGCCATGAGATTTCCCTGGTAGTTTTCAGAGAGGTGTTCATTTCCTACAGCAGGAGGGTAGAGGAGCTGAGGGTCGAGCTCAGAGCTAAAGATAGTACTGATTTCTAGATACAGTTAAATGCCCAACTATGGCAGAACTGTTACTCCAGCCATGGTTGGGGAAAAACAGGACCCTGACACTCGGGATAGGAACATCTAGGACGATTCCCTGAAAATGCTGAATCTTAAGGTGATGAACTCTCTTGGTTTTCCAGTGACAGGGGAGTTTCCTGTGATGTGGGGTTTTCAGTGCTAAAACTGAGGCAGTACTGGGCAAACTGGGGCTGTTGTTCACTCTACAATGCCTCTGAATTCTTTGAGCCTGGAGAAGTGGCCTATCCTCCGTACTTAAAGCTAGCATTTCCTTCTTGCTTAAAAACAATGCTCTCTCTTTCCTCCAAGACAGCACATACCCCGCTCTCAATATCCGCCCCCCACCCCCCGACCTCTCCTCCTGCCTACTAGGTGTATAAGTAGGATTAATTCATAATCAGCCCAGGACACGCTGAGCCTGATAAGGGAAAAAAGGCACTCTATTCCAAAGAAGCTGCAAGTCCTAGCCAATATATACTGGCAGATGTCAGGGCAGTACCAGCGGGACTAGATTTTGAGGCTGCTTGACCAAGAGGAGTTGGAACATAAGATTGGAGAAGGGAAAGTTTATTGATTTGGGAACACTCTCCAGAGACACAGGATTTACACCTTGGCAAGGCCCCCAGGAAATGGTGTCACCTTGCTACTAGGATGGCTCCTAGCAGCATGGAAAAGGCAATGGCCCATACTAAGCAAAGATGGAGTGCCAGAATTTCCCTGGCAGATGGAAGAATGGCTTAAAAGGCTCAGGGAAGTGGATATATTAGACTGGAAGTATTATATATTTATGTGAGGCCCCAATACCCTCCAAAGGACTATGTTTCACAGAAAGGCACAGAGGACACACCATTTACTAAGGCCATGAGGAATACACAGGTGAGGGGATTCAGCCTCACTAAAATGTTAAGCAATGAGGAAAGGATCTCAAATGGATAACAGCAGTGATGATAGGACCCCAATATAAGAGGCCAGGTAATGATGTGTAACTGCCTGAAGCAAGGCAGGTGGATACAATTATCCTAATGAGTGGTAAGGTTGGAGTGGCAGCAAAAGGGGCCTAATGTGCAGTTATGGAGATGATTACAGTGGTTCCTGGACCAGGAGCATCACCACCTCCTGGGAACTACTTAGAAATGCAAATTCTCAGGATCCTCCCCAGGCCTATGGAATCAGAAACTCTGGGGCTAGGACCCAGCAATCTGTGGTTTAACAAGCTCTTCAGGTTATTCCAATGCAAGCTAGTTTGAGAACCACTGAATTAATAGAACACGGCCTCTCAAGGATTACAAAGGTAGACAGGTAACAGAATTTGTCATTTTGTACCATCAGAAGAAATTGAGGGATATTTAATAAGGAAGCTGGAAGCTGATAAATAGAAAGTCAAAAGGTTTTGCCATTTCTGAACTTGAGACAGTTTTCAGACCTATAATTTACTGAATGACCACAGGTCTCCACGACGAAGGACCTTGCAGAACCACAGCAAGTATTCATGACAAGAATTTCCCCTGTTCTTGTCCAAAGAAACATATAGTTATTTATTTAGGCAGCTGTACACTGGGGATGCCAAACATTTCAAGGACTCTTGGGCCCAAGTTGACATTGATAGTTGGAGTCCCTAAGTGTCATTACACCCTCCCTTCATTAGAATGAGCACATACAGGAAGCTGGTAATCAATGCAGCCCTGAAGACCCACTTGATGGTCACTTCCCCAGTCAAAGGTATAGACACACCTGATAGTTGGCACAATATCCACATAGGTCCTTGGCCTGTGATTAAGAGTTAACATAATGAGGAAGTCAAAATGGAAGTCCCTAAAACTGCCTCCCTGCTGAGTCAAATAGTAGATATATAATATTATCGCCTCCCAGGAGAGATGGCAGAAATTGTGCTACACCTAAGCCTTTAAAAGGTGATGGTCCCTATCATATTTCCATCAAATTCACCCGTCCAGTTCTTGAAGAAACTAGATGGACCCTGGAGGATGATAGTAGATTCCCATGAACTCAAAGTAATATCCCCAATTATATCCATTGTGCTAAATGTGGTATCTTTACTAGAGCAGATTAATATGGCATATGTGGGCATGGATATACCAAGTATTATTTTCTAGTCTGATCAAAAAAGAGGATCAAAAAGAGTTCATATCCATGTGGAATGGGTGACAATATACCTTCACAATTTTGACTCAGGACTATATTAACTCCACTGCCTGTTTCATAATGTAGTCAAGAGAAACCTGGAATCATTGAACATCCCAGGGAACACCTCACTGATCCACCATATCAGTAGTGGGATGGGCTTAGAATTGGCATGACACATGTACTCCAGGGGGTGGGAGACAAATATTCCAGAGCCTGAAATGTCAGCAAAATATTCAGAAATCCAGTGACCAGAGGTAGCTAGAATATTTCCTCTAAAGTGAAAAATAAATCATTGCCTCTTGCACCTTCCAGCATAAAAAAGCAAGTTCGAGGTGTGGGAGGCCTCTTCAGGTCCTGAAGGTGCATATTTCACACCTGGGAATACTGCTTCCAACAGCTATAGGGAGTGGAATCCTCTGTGGCCAGAACAAAGAATGGGAGAGCGGTGGATGTTTCTGTAAACCATCTGCAGGAGAAAATAAGATTGCCTGAAAACACACCAATGCCACAGGCCATGCCTTCATATTACACTAAATCAAAAGTAGTGATTCTTTGGATTAGGGTGTAGGGCACAGACCTTGGGTGTTGAACTCAGCACGGTGACAATCACTCTGACGTGCTCCAGTATTTACAGGGATAACAAGGCTGACTTTGGAAAGCAGGACTATGCCAGGAAATCCAGGACATCTGGCTGATTCACAGCAGGGCACATCTGTGCTAGAATGTCCTTTGCATTTTAGAAAAGACTGCTTTTTCTTTAGCCAAGAGAAGAACAGGATAGTTTGCAGATAAAGTCACAAATTGTTCAAGTCCCTTTGCCCTGCATATTCCTACTTGGGAATTTACAAATTTGGGAAATCAGTAATTGAGTTCTGATTAAATGATCAGGATGTCTCTTGACAATAAATAGTTCTACCTCTTCTACACTGAACAAGGTAAGATAAATACAGGTGAAAGCATCAATCCTTCACTGAACTTTTGGCTTTAACACCAGTAGGAAGGGAAGTATTTAGAAAAGGTTGTGGGAGCCCCAAGAGATTGTGGATAAAAAGGATTGGTTATTCTTAAATATAGAACATGAATCTCCATTTAGAAACATATTAGACCAGAATTTCAAAGGGCTATTTAATTTTTATTTTTTAGAGACAGTCTCATTCTGTCACCCAGGCTGGGAGGCAGTGGAGAAATCACAGCTCACTGCAGCCTTGACCTCCTGGGCTCAAGTGATCCTCCCGAGTAGCTGGGACTACAGGTACATGCTCCCTTACCTGGCTAATTTTTCTTTTTTTTTTTTTAAAGATGGGGTCTTACTATATTGCCCAGTGCCCAGGCACACCTTGACCTCCTGGGCTCAAGCAATCCTCCCGAGTAGCTGAGACTACAGGAACATACCTCTATACCTGGCCAATCCTTCCTTCCTCCCTCTTTTTTTTTTTTCCCAGAGATAGGGTCTCACTATATTGCCCAGGCACACCTTGAACTTCTGGGCTCAAGTGATCCTCCTGCCTTGGCCTCCTAAAGTGCTGGGATTACAGGTGTGAGCCACCTTGCCTGACTTCAAGGGGTTATTTAAAATATGAGATAAGAACTGTTTATTTTTTGGATAATTCACCCTCTAATCTCAAGAGCTTTCTTGAAGCAATTTCAGAAGGTGTAGAACAATTTTTTTCCATGCATATTGCTGTTTTGGTAGAAACAGAAGTCTAAAGTTGAGGCTTTTCCTGGAACCTCTGGAAAAAAGAAACTCACAGGCAAAATGTCTGACTGCATATTGCATATCTAACTGCTCAGACAAATCTTCTCCAACTTTTGACTCTCACTGTTGAACTCTTGCACAAACCATCCATATGTATGGAATGTCTGTTCTGTTGCTTGCATGGCTATTTCCCATCTATTCAACACCCAACTGCAGGGTAAATGCACATGAAAGCAATAATTTAGTGTACCCTGAGAATGACCCTGTATGGCATATGTACCTGAATGTGTTTTCCAAGCTAGAGAATCCAAGAGTGGCCAACCTGGAGATTTGTTCCTTGTCTATAAGGAACATCTGAGCCCCTAACCCATCCTATGGAACACCAGCCATACAGGGGATTGAGGCCCTAAGTTTGGGTTGAATGAAGTTGACAGATGAAGGTTGTTAGGTAAAGGGTACTAAGTGAGAATGTTATATAAACACCTTTTGCAAGCGGTTGCAGTTCTTCTGCCCAGCTGCCACTCTCTCCCCAGTATGTAAGCCCCAGTGAAACCCCCTGTCTTGTTTGCTGGCCCCAAGTCTCTTCTTCAGCCTCTCGAATGTGGTGCCATCTCCATTACAGTCAACAGGGGTTTGGCACAACACCAAGGTACATGTTCCAGGAAGTTTTCTGGATGGATCAGAACATGTTAACTTCTGTTGCTTTGCCTTTATTCCAGTGTGGTTTTTTGTTTATAAAACATTTTTGGGAGGATGCACGTTTATATACTTATTTTACCTTGTGGAAATGTAGTTATGATTTCAGAGTAATGAAGGCTGAGAAAAAGCAAAAGGCTATCTGGGAGTTTCATAATACAATGAGAAGAGGCAAATATTCTCCCTCCCACTGGATGCTTGTAGGAATGGAGACCAACGACAGCTTTGAAGATGTTAGCTATATTTAGTGATTACTATATGTCATGCAGTCAGAAGTGGTTACATCAATAATGTGCTAGAGTCAGCTGGGACCAGCTTGCAAGTGCTGATAGTGCACATCCCTTCTCAGCTTCAGGTTCAGTGGTGTCATGCTGGTAGCTTAAAACTGGCCCTGGTGATATCAGGTACACCATGGAAATCAGCAAATGACGCAACTCAAGGTTTTTGTTTGTTTGTTTTTGTTTTTAAACCCAGCAAGTCGATTTATCAGCACTCTACCTTGTACATTCTTTTTAATCTTCCATATCTATCTTTAATAGGTTCATGCTTTCTTCTACATTTTTTAACATATAGAGTGTATTTATGATACCTATTTTAGTGTGTTTGTCTACTAATTCTATCCTCTAGGTCAGAGGTTGGCTAGCCATGGGCCAAATCCAGCCTACAGCCTATTTTCATACAGTTTATATTTATAAGCTAAGAATGGCTTTATCTTCTTAACGGGTTGTAGAAAACAAACATCACTAGCCATCAGGAAAATTCAAATAAAAAACACAATGCAATCCCACTTTCCACTTACTAGAATGGCTATAATAATAATAAAAAAGAGATAATAACACACGGTGAGAATGTGAAGAAAGTAGAGCCCCCATTCACTGTTGGTGGAAATATAAAATGGTGCAGCAGCTTTGGAAAACAGTTTGGCAGTTCCTCAAAAAGTTAAACAACAGAGTTGCCATATGATCCAGCAATTAGATACCTAGGTATAGATGCAAAAGAAATAAAACATGTGTTCACCCCAAAACTGGTACACAAATGTTCATAGCAGCATTATTCATAATTCATAATTATTTCCAAAAAGTGAATGACCCAAAAGTCCACCAAGTGATGAGTAGATAAAATGTGATATATATCCATACAATGGAATATTCTTCAGCAATATAAGGAAATGATACATACTACAACATGGATGAACTTCAGAAATATTAAGTAAAAGATGCCAGTCACAAAGAATTATGTAGTATCTGATCCCATTTATATAACATGTCAAGAATAGGCAAATCCACAGAGATGGAAAGGAGATTGGTGGTTGCCAGGGACTTGAAGGAGAGGTGGATGACTGCTAATGTGCATGGGTTTCCTTCTGGAGTGATGAAAATATTTTAAAATTGATTGTGGTAATGGTTGTACAACTCTGTGAATATACCAAAACCACTGAATTTAACACTTTAAAAAGATGAATTCTATAGTATCTAAGAAGTTATTTTTAAAAAAGCAGTCCCTAGACTCTGGGATTTCTAAGACCAGTAAAGCATCCCCAAATCAAAGTTCAGGAATCTATTATAGATGCCAACTTTTCTTTTTTGGGGGTTGGAGTGGGGGAGGGGGACCAGTAAATGAGAACATTTAGTGATCATTAAGCAGCAATATAATTTTATAAAAGAAAAGACATTTTAACTCCTAAGGATTAATCAGGAATAAGCAATAATTATTTAAGTGGAATAAATGTAGCTTCACTAAAAAGGTATTAAGTAATTGTAAGTAATTACAATAATAAGTAACATCATATTAAAAAAATTTTCCAATGCTCCTTGAAGCATAAAAGCATTTCTACTATTATTTTTAAAATCTTTTTAAAAAGGACTAAAGTATAGAAACTTAGTTGCCATAAAAGATGTTCTTTAAATCTTAAATTTAAATTTTATAGTCATGTAATTAGGTTAATTTTTACATGTATTTTAATTTACTGATAATAATGTAAATGAAAAATCTTAGTTGATAAAAACTTTATTTAAAACATGTAAAGAATCATATAGTTCAAAACTGCAAAAATAAAAGACAATTTCTTGTAACTTAAAAATAAAGTATATATCTAGAAACCACCACATTAACATCTACTATTTATAGTACAATCTCCAATTCAAAGCTAATCTTTGTATTTCTGTATTTTGCAACTTTTGAGCTAGAATCTTCCTCCCTATCCAACTATACTGTTATGTAACCCCATTGTTTTAACATTTAACAATACAACTTGGGTATTCTCTGACAAGCAAGAATATATACTATTGATCACTTCTATACACAAAATAAAAACAGTTCAAATGACTAGAAACTAATTTTACAAAAGAAAAAAAAACAGGTTAGTAAAACATTTCTTTTGAAAACAATGGGTGAATTAGTATTCTGAATTGAGCTAGAGCACATTTTTGCTTGAAGACTCTCCATATTAGGCACTATGCATTTATATAGTACAGAACATTTGCAAAATGCTTTTCACCATTTATTAGGACTCACAACACCTGGGCGCTGGGGAATAGCCGGACTACCTCAGTTTACACAGGGAGAACCAAGGCACACTGTGAGATCTTGCCAGGGCCAGAGTGAGACCTCATTAGCTTCTGACTTCTTGTAGGAAGAGCCAGATGTTTCTTTGTGGAGGACATTAATTTGTTTAATGATAGGAGTAAAAGTATGTGAGATTTGTTGTGGGAAAATTAGTTTGGGCTCCATAAATAAAAAGTTCAGAGCATGGATAAAGTAGAGATTTCACTGTGAAAAGGGTCAATGAGGAGAAGTTAAAACCAGATATAAGGCTCTTTTCAGACAGATCACTTTTCAGAAATAAAAATAGCAAAACGAGAATAGGAAAAAAATAGCTATAGAGTTTTTCATTTCTAACCCAAGGGGCTTTGATAAAATCACTTTAAAAGAAGGATCTCTCTCTTAAAACAACCCTTAAACATCTTATTTTTTCCCCCTCATAAGACCCCTGTGAGGTAGAGAGCACTTACTTACAGGGATGAAGCTAAGAAGTAAAGTTAAGAGTTTAAAACCACATGGATAGTGAACAGGCTGGAGCAGATGTTATGTCTTAAAGCATTGGCTTAGAAATAGAAACAGAAGGTAGAGAATAAACAGGAACTTTTATGGATGGACAAGTGGAATAATCCAGGGATCTAGTAGCAACACCAGCTACTTAACATTTCTTTTAAAAAGGACTTGGAATTTCAAGTATGTGATGAGGCCTAAAATGACAAACACTTGTCTGGGTATTGAAATGCTCAGCTGAAGGGAATATATGCAATATGTTCTCATAAGACCATGTGGGAAAAAGCAGAGGCATAAAAGAGCTACAACCTGGACAAGTGCAAACTAATGCATTTAGGACAAACTGCTGTTACCTGTAGTTAAAATATAATGGGCACTGAGCCATCAATAAGGCTTGAGAGAGGAACTTAATTTAGCCTGATCAACATGCTAGGGTAGGTTTTTAAAAAATACCAGTCATTACTGGAAAGGGTATTTAAAACCAAAACAATGGCGCCTATTCACTTGGAAAATCACGTACAACTCTGGTATTCATAGATCCACTGTGGGTTATTAGCGGAAATCAACTTCTGGAAGAGACACCTAAAACATCTCTTCATGGCTGACAGACACATCTGTAGTAGGATAGGACACAGTTCTAAGCCAGCATAGCAAATCTGATGTTCTGGATCTCCAGGGAGGCTTTCCCTCAAGGTCTCTAATCAACTTTCACAGTCAAATTCCATACCATGATAATAAATACAACCAATTTAGGTCATGGTACCAAGGATCCTGCTGGGTCACAGGGCACCTGATTATAGGAACTTTATAAATTGTATTGCTGGGAAAAACCACAAGAGGACAACTGTTTGGTTTCCCATCTTTTGATGCAGCAAAAGAATGATATAGCTCACCTGGGTTTTGTTTATTAAAGATTGTGTGGGATGGCATTTATAATCTAATCATCTTAAGTCCATGAGTACATCTCCTTGGGTCCAGCTGATATGCCTCTTCTATAAATCATGTGCTAGTGGCAGCTGTAAACACAGCTACAGAATGGGAGCATTTAGAGGACAGTACCCTGCCCATTTTCAACTCATGGAAATGTTGTTTTCAGGAAATATATATGGCAATAATATTCAAAACATCTATTCCTCTGAAATTATGGAAGTTAATCCTAAACCTCACAGCTTTAAGATACAGAATGTAACTAGTACTTTTTGATGTAGGGAGGCATGTTGTTTGATATATATCATAACCTCAGCCCCCACACACTGACTAGAATATTCCGGGGGAAGGATTAATGGGATGGATTTATTCATAACTAACGGAATGGAGAATGTTTTTATTTGTCAATGGTAGATCCTCTCTCCTTGAGACCCAGAGGGAACTTATATGTCATTGCCCCAATTGAAAACATATGACAAAATTTTTTGTGTTCTTCTGAATTGTTTATGTTCCCTTTTATCTTTAGTCTACTCTGCTTCAAACTTCTACAGTCAAATTAAAACTTGAGAAAAGTAACAAACTCAATAATAGAAAAAAACATAGCAGTAACCTAATGTTTCAAGTATTGAGAGAAGTTTGCAGGGGTGGGATTCTCTTGCACATGTGAACTGCAAAATGTTTTTTTGAGCTGCAAATTTTAAGTAGACATTTCTTTCTCTCTTACACACACACACACACACACACACACACACACACACACACACACACACACCCCTAAGGATGAACAGGCTGTCACTAAGGATAAGTGCCAGTTCACCTCTACACAGCAGGTTGTTGAGTTTAGAGCAGTAAAGAGCTTCACCCCACCCTAGTGTGAGGGTATAATAACCTGTGAAATCTTTAATAAGTTCTGTTATACTTGATATAATTTTTAAAAATTATTTTGGCATATGTTAATCAGTCATAATAGTTACTCTGGGGGTGCCTGCTTAACGTCTGACATATCCTAATTGGGAATACAACTTCAGGGCTGCTAGCATTTGAAAAAAACTCTAGTCACTTCAGACACTACCACAAAAGCTTTATCTGTAGCTTAACACAAGAGACTTTGTTAATAAGTAAAATATTTCCAATGATTCATATTAATGGTGTTAGAGATATGTGGATCGGCCCAAATATTGTAGGGCACCCTAGACCTTCCACAAGCAGTGTATAAGAATCTGACAAGCCCAGCAGTTTGGGATTTCTAACTTATTCTTTTAGAAGTGAAACTAAGAATTGACTTGGCTGACTGAATCTGCTAGAATATTGCTGGATTCACTTCTAATAACTCTTCTAGGTAGGATAATGTTGGGTTGCACAGAAGGACAGAATTGGGACTTTTTCAAGCTTACAGGACAGGTTGCATGACTGTTCTGGTGCCTGCTTGCTCATAAACACACATGACGCAGCACTTGGTCTAAGACCTGATTTCAGTGTAAAGTACCACCTGGTGAGGTTGGGAGCCCTATAGCCCTCACACATTTCTATCTACTGAAGGCTACCAAAACAACCTAATAATTGTGAGCGCCCAAACTGGCAAAGGCCAGGTTATAATTTTCTCTAGTGGAGGAAACCCAATATTTTTATAGATATAACAATATTAATCCAGTCATAGTCTACAGTTGAAATAAGCCTGCAAATAGCAGCTTCTAGTTTAATGGGGATGAAAGTCCCTGGTCCTGCTATAAGGTCTGCAAATGACTTCAGAATGAAGGAAGGTCCTTGTCAGCCAAACACAGGAAGAAGAGAACCACAGAGCTGAGCCACGGGTGGGGACTGTGACATTTCTATTTGATGCTTTTCTATTCTTCTGTCTTTTTGGCTTCTTTCCAGTTGTCCAGTATAGGAGTGTCGCCACTCCTGGGAGTTCAGTAAAGGTGAAACAAACACAGCAATGAGCATATCGAACAACTAAGTTGAGGGAGAGATGTTAGAGAGAAGTTTGTGCCCACTAAAATTGAGCCAACTGAGATGGAGTGGTTATAATTATTTGGTTGGTTGTTTTTATAGCTATGGGTAATCTAATGAATATGAGAGTCTGAGCATTTGAATTACCCATAGTAAAGTAAAAAAAAAGAGCATATGTACTTGCTTTTGTCTTAATAAACATTTCTTATGGTTTTATTCCATATACTCTCTTATATCTTTGCTTTAAAAATAATTTAAAAACTATGTTCCCCACTCCCCAAAAGCAGATTTGAAAGAAGTAACAGCCAACTGATGCTCAGCATGCCCTATGATTGTACAGCAGGGGAGTATGGGCCTGTCTGTCCCACAGGAGCTCCTGGGAAGAGGGCAAAACAGGAGTCTGGTTCTATTCCTTGAGATGATTCATGTAAGGTATTTGCCCTAGAACCCAATCCATACTACGTACTCAATGATGTTATTTGTTATTAGTAGTAATTTTTAAAATAAGAGCAAATACTGGTAATAGTAACATGCATTTTCAATTCTAGCTAAAGCCTAAGCAGCTAAGATTCAGACAAAAAGCTTTTCACATGACAATTATTTGTTATAGTAAAAGGAAGTTCTCTAACTTGCACTTGGCTATACGTGAATTCGATCAAACTGAATTTTTCATTTTGCCACTTGGTAATCCCTAGGGAAACTACAGTATTCTAAATGCTGGCAAGGGCCCTGGACATTTAGGTTCAATATGCAACAATAACAGAGTCATAGGCATTTGTCAGTTTGAAGGAAAATTACAATTCTCCAATTTCCCATCCATTATCATCTTCTTTAACTCTCACCACAATTCTGAGAGGTTGCAAATGATACCCCAGACAGGTTAAGTGACTTGCCTGTTTGAATGGCTAGAAAGAGGTGAAGTTGGGAGTACCTGTTTTGATTCTTGGTAAATGGTCTATCTTCCAAACTCCAGGGAATGAGGCTTAAAGGAAGGCTCTACTGTATATAAAGAATAGCACCGGAAAACCAGCATAGTGCAGGAAAAGAGTGAAAAATGGAAAACCAAATAGTGAATTTTAGACTACTGTGAAAGAGGTCTTAGGAAATCATTTGCAATAGCAGGATGAAGAAACTATCTTGTCCCTTTAAGTAAACAAGCCCATAGGAAAGTAATGGGGAAACCAGTTCATTGTAGTTTTCAGCACATTTCTTAAGTATCTATTATGTACATGTTACACAGAAGCATAGCCCCGGTAAGAATTTTATATTACATACCCCAAAGAGCATGGACTTCTTATACCATTGCATGTGGTGTGCAAAGAACACGGTGATCTGCTACTGTAGCAACAATGCATACTCCAAGGCATACTCTTGGGCTGCCTACAAAATAGGCAATAAAGGCTGTGCGTTTAAGGTAAGCATGCACACCCCACCCAGAAGTGCAGAGCTGCAACCATAAGTAGATAAGCGCTCTGAGGATTTATTTCTGTTTCAGAGTGTTTTACTAAACAAGTTATGGAAAGAGCATCTAATATCAGCTATGGATTATTCCCTAAACCTCAATCGCTGACCTTTAAGAACCTAACTTCCAAATTTAAATGGCATTGTCAAGTAGTCTAGGCTCCAAATTTAGAGACCAACAGGCTACTTTTGGATGGCAATTTTTGGTAGAGAGGCCTGGTTGATCAAACCCTTTTAAAGCTGCTTTCTATTTAGCCCAGTTTTTAGAGAGAACAGATGGAAGGCACCAGGATAAGCTATTATAGAGCTTCTATGACCTGTGTAAAGGGCCAAGAGCTATAACATCTACCAGTTTGTTAAAGAAGTATCCTAGCTGACACAAGGCAAAGAAGATACTGAACTCACTGGCTGCAGGAGAGGTGAGACTACATCCTGAAATTTCTTTTCCATAACTACACTGAGAATTTTAAAAGGTAGACAGTGGGTTCCTCAAGGTATGGAGGGTGCTGAAGACAGGCCACAGGGCTCCTGAGAACCAGTGTTTCCAGATCCCTTTCTCTGGTGCAAATGAAGACAGCTACTCCCCTGGGTCTATAGTATGCTTTTGTGAACTAATTCAACAATTTACTTCCCAGCAGGACCCTGGAAACCATCCCCAACATGTAAGACATTGACATTTTTAAAGCTTTCTAAAGGAGCTGACATACCCCCTTATTGCCTCCATAACATCCAGTGTTTATGAAACACTTCCCTGTCAAGCAGAGCTCTGATCACAGCCATCCTCCTATCGGAAGACAAATGCCAGGATTCCTACACCTTCAGTTATACTAACTCAGCGTTGGCCTTCCAAATAATAAAGTTGAATATTTTCTTTGCTACAAAGGGCAGTACACTCCTACTCTGAGGTAGCACAGTAGCAATGGGCGTCCTTGAAATTCACCCTTTGATCCTTACAGCTACAGACTTTAAAACTGCTAATTACCTAGCTAAAGCATTGAGTTGAAATCTAAGCATCCTGTCTCCCAGAGTTGCTGGTCACTCGCGTAAATGGGGGAGAATATATTTCGGCTGTAGAACTACCTAGATAATTTGATAAAGCATGGCAACTAGAAAGAAGAAACAAACACACAAAGAAGAACTAGAGCCAGCACGACATAAATCATAACGTATCTTTGGCATCTCATTAGAAATCTATGCTAACATTCTCCTCTACCCTTGAAGTTAGGTTGGAAATATACTTAATGTATTTTATTGCTTATGTCACTCTTTCCTAAACACTCTGTAGTATTTTCTATACCTCTGACACACCTCTAACCTTCCAGAATACAAAGTAAGATGCTTTCCTTAAGATGTGAGGGAAGCGATGGACATTCATGTGAAACTACATTCCTTCCACCTCTGCTCTGTAATTATCTCACTGTAATTACTACTGTCAATCTCAGGGATGGAAAGCTGGCAAAGGGAGATGAGAAAACTCAAGACACATTTACAGACACTAAAGTGTTGCGGGATACCCTAGTAGATAAGTCATTATATTATTTACTTTTTAGCATCTCTTGACTCTTGGTGACCAGGTAAAGTAGGGGAGAAGGGATAAAAAACATGTCAGTTTAACATACGTGCCATATTGAAGTGCCTTTTCTTTTAAGTTTTCTAAATTTTCACCTGGCTTTTAAGAGCAGAAGTTATTTCATGGTGACTTTCCAGCAGGCTTTTCTGAGGTAGATAAAACATGGATGATAAGTAGTCTGAAGAATGCAGAAGGGGAGGTGAAGACTGTGTGGCTGGGATTAGTTTGAAAGAAATTTCAGAAGTGAAAGCTGAGCCTGTCATGTACAATACTAGAGAAAAGAGGAACAAGGTTAAAGGCTGTACACCATTTAAACAAGGTTTTTAGAATTTAATAGGTGCAAAATAGGCTAATCTAGCTAGTAAAGAACAGGACTGTAGGAACAGTGACAGAGCAAAAGTAGAGCCTTTGTTACATACAGCTAGTCAAAAGTAGGCAGAAAACAGCAAGAGATATGTATCCCTCAGGACCTCAGTGCTCAACAAAGAATATATATCATAATAACACAAAGGTTTAAAAGCAACCAACAGGCTTGAAGGTTTCAACTGCCTTTTGTTGCTGTTTGGATGAAAAGCAAATTTTGCCTCTTTCCTCAGGCCTCTGTTTGTACACAGGTATTGTAATTGTATTAAGCATGTCAGGGAAATCCAAATCCCAGCTAAATAATTAGTGAAATAGATTCTGAACTCATTTTTATGCCTGTGTGAATTACAGATGAACAGGCTAGCATGCCTGAGACCCAACGAGGTTAATAGTATCAGCTGGGGCCTTTCTTTCTGGAGAATCACTGCAGTTATCACAGGCAGATGCTGTACTGTTAAATGAAAATGCCATTGTAGGCCAAATGTTAGCAGTTAAATACCATCATCACAGAAACACACAAAGCTATAGTCAAGTTCACAAACACAGCTGGTGGTTAAGAAACGCTTAATGAAGAAAAGAAATTTGCTATTGGCTTTACGTCATTCATTAAGACTTCCAATACCCTTAGAGTGGGACTGTTCTTATATGAGAGACAGTAAAATAACTATTGGCCTTAGCTTCTCTCCCCAATCTAAGAATAAACATTTGTTAGAACGCCCATTGGAAAAAGAGAAAAATCACACATAATGTTCTCGTGGGTCGATGTAGACTCTCTTAGGGTCGTTATTTTGATGATGTTTGCCAGGGCTCCGGTCTTGGTAGCACATTTGATTGTAAAGGGGGTACATCTGCTGAATGCCATCTTCCCCAACTGGATTCTCATCTTCATAGTCAAAACTCCTGCTATTTAGTCCATTCTAAAAATTCAAACATTGCTTACATTAGCAGAGCAGCTGTTTGCATTTTTCTAGCACTGGTAAAAACAGGCAAGAATAGAATTCACTACAGTTTAGTGTCCCTGATTCATTATGCCAAAAACTATTGAATGGCAAGGTAAAGTTCAACAACTTATATTTTCCAGTCATTTGTCGCTTACAATACCCTGAATAAGAATAGTAGTAGCTCCTAAATACAAAATTGTGACTAATGGGGACTGGGATCAGTTTCACATTTTAAAATTTGGAGTTGCTATCAGTTAAGGTAAACTGGAGAAGAACAGGGTTATAAACCTCAGAAGTCTCTTAAGCAAGGCTCAAGCTTGAAATGAACATATGAGACATACAGAGAATTAAGCCAACCAAACAAAAGAAACCTCGACTCAGCTCTGGGGAACTGGGGAACGGACACAGCAAAATGAACTGGCATTTGAACATATGCCTGATAAAACTGAAAAGAAACTCTGCCAAAAATATCCTCTTGTCTTGACCTTTCCTTCTGGCTTGACCTTGCCACAGCTAGCACCTATAAAATGAACCCCCCATGATGTTCTGTGGTGTCTCTGGGACAGACTCTTCTGCCCGTTATTGGTTTCATAAAACTTGATTACTTCTAAGAGTAAAATTCAAGGACTACCAGATCTTAGCAGAGACACTCAAATAGGGGAAAGATGAATAAAATGAACTTGTATACAATTAAATGATATTTTAATAAGCACGTTAGCTACCAGCTCCACCTGGGCTGATACCGACAACACAGTTACTTACAGAGTGCTGAAGATTGCCAACTTCTCTTTCTTTGAACTGAGTCTGCAAAGGCAAGTGTTCAGGCTGGAAGAAAACACAAAAAGATGTGCACTGTAAAACACATGGCAAAACATATCAACCACTAAGATTCCTATTTTTAAAAGAGCCAATCATGTCTTGTTATAAATGTCTACCAACTAAGCAAAATGTTCCACATGAGAGTAAGAAAAAGTAACCATATTTTTTTAAAGAGTTTCACTCACTCTCTCCTGGCTCTTGACTTCTGGAAAGAAGAAAATATAGGGCTGGGCACAGTGGCTCTTGCCTGTAATCCTAGCACTTTGGGAGGCCAAGGCAGGTGGATAACTTGAGGCCAGAAGTTTGAGACCAGCCTGATCAACATGGTGAAACTCCATCTCTACTAAAAATACAAAAATTAGCCAGGTGTGGTGGGGCACACCTGTAATCCCAGCTATTTGGGAGGCTGAGACAGGAGAATTGTTTGAATTGGGGAAGCAGAGGTCACAGTGAGCCATGATTGTACCACTGTACTCTAGCCTGGGCTACAGAGCAACCAAGATTCGGTTTCAAAAAGGAAAGAAAATATAGACAACATCTGCTGCAGAAGTTCTCATGCAAACTTGTTTACATCTTACATGAGGGTGAGCTCACCACAGAAGGTCTTCTGTCTTCTCAGAAGAGTCTGATATTTTGAATCAGGTAAAAGTGGTTTGGGGTGGTAATGAGACATTATTTTTTGTCTTTATACATAGATTTAAAGGCCATATGATCATCCTTTTCTTGCTTGCTAATCTTCCATCCTTATCCCCACCCTCCCCCCACACAGATTACAAAGGGAGTTCATTTTCAAACTTCACCCTAAGAAGAATTTTTTTCAGTTTTCCTCGGCTTACAAACACATGACTTACCCTTCAGACTTCAGTTCAAATATCACCTCTTTCATGAAGCCTTGCACAACACCCTCGAGCAGAGATGGCCACCCTTTTCTGTGCCTTCATAGCATTTATTATCACATTTATAAGTCTACTTGCTTTTCTCCTTATCCAGACTGAGAGTGCTGGTTGAAGTGTTTCACAAACATTATCTCACCTAATCTTTATACGTATAATACTTCAACAAAACTAATATCTTTATTTTACAGATGACTAAAACTGAGGCTTAGTTATGCAAGTTGTCTCCAGTCACACAACTGGTAAGTGGTAAATAGTGATTCAAATGTGGCTTTGTCTAATTCCAAATTCTGTATTTTC
This sequence comes from Homo sapiens, assembly GCF_000001405.40. Taxonomy (NCBI): domain Eukaryota; kingdom Metazoa; phylum Chordata; class Mammalia; order Primates; family Hominidae; genus Homo; species Homo sapiens. The sequence continues at coordinate 111,191,163 of NC_000003.12, read as the reverse complement.
ACATCCCTGCTTTCATTTTAGTGTCTGGAAAATAGATGTTCAGTCAATATAATAAAATAATGCCTGAATGTCTCCACATGCAGGCATTATCTATCAACAAGCTCTGCATTTCACTATCTTTGCTCATACTGTCCCTTTTGGTTTGGAAGGACAAATCTCTGGGAGTAGAAATTCTACTTATCCAACATGGCCTGACTAAAGTCATTCTTTTTTTCACAAGGCTTGTCAACATTGCCTGTCAAAGTTAATCTCTTTACTCCTAGTTTTCCTATTGTTCTTGTTTTTATCTCTATTATAGCACACATCATGACTGTCTTGTTTTATAGTCCCTAATGTAACTTTCAACTCCAGTAAGTAGTGAGCCTTACTTAGCCATTGCTAATGGTCTGAATGTTTGTGTACTCCCAAAATTCATATGTTGAAACCTAATTGCAATGTGTTAGTACTAAAAGGTGGGGCCTTTGGGAAGCGAATAGGGTATAAGAGTGGAGCTGTCATAAATGGGATTAGTGCCCTTATAAGGGATTGAAGAGATCAGAGCTCTTCCCTTCCTTCTTATGAAGTTATAGTGAGAAGACAGCCATCTATTAGGAATAAGGCCCTCGCCAGACACTAAATCTGCTGATACCTTCATCTTGGACTTCCCAGCCTCTAGAAGTATAAGAAATACATTTCTGTTGTTTGTTAGCTACCTAGTTTACGGTGTTTTGTTACAGAAGCCTGAACAGACTAACATAGTCATCCTCCTCCATCCCTCTACCTTAATGTGGGTTTGTGCAATAAAAATAGTTCACTAATGAATTTATTAGAATCTAAACTATCATCAATTCTTGATGTCATATGTCAAGGTTATCTACATTATAAATTATGTGACATGTTCACTCCTCCTGTCAAAGTCAGCATAATTCTACAGTGCTTCCCACATGATCAGGTGATATTAACAGTACACACTGGTAAAAGTCCAAGGCAGGGGCAGTCACGGATGTATGGCCAATCACACAGGGCCCCTGGGGTTTAATGCTTTTAATACTTTGCAGTTGCCATCTAAGATTTCTTAATAATTTCACTGTTAATTTCTGTTGTAAGTGGTCTAATGAGACAAAAAAGCATGCTTCAGGGACTTGTAGGCTAGGCTCACAGGCATCCCTGCCTCCTGCTGTGTGGTTTTTGGCCACTGCTACCCCATCTTGCTGCCCCAGGTCCTACCTGGCCTCCCCCTCCCTGTCCCCTCTCCAGTGACTGCTGCTGTCCTCAGCCCAGGCAGATGCCTGGGCATTGGTTTAGGAGCACATGCCCACAGTCATGGTGCATATGGCAGGTGCCTGGAGGCCATGTCCCAGTGAAGATGAGACTCTCATTCACCCCCTATCTAGGTACCTAATAATGCCATCTTGACAGCCTTAATTTTTGAACATGGGGCCCAGCATTTTCATTTTGCACTGTGCCTCAGGAATTATGTAGCTGGTCCTGGTCAAAGGAAAATACACTTGGGAAAAAATACCTTATATTAAAATCAGCATTTTCATTTGTTTCTTTGCCATTTATTATTCTCCATCCATTAATACAGATAATTAAGAAATGATTTCACATCACTCACTGCTGCATCTAACTTGACAAGAGGTGGTGTAATCAGAAGCTTCTCTGTAAAGGGGGTGGGTGTGAATTTCCTAAGCCATGAGAAGAGTTAATCCATTTTTTTTAAAGTGGTATCTGGATATCTTTAAAAAATCAATTTACAATCTCATTTTCTCCCACTTCAAGTTTCCCTTTATTATAATAATAAAACCTAAATACATTTGTGTTGATTCTTAGGACAAGTCAGTAGAAGCCATCATAACCCACTACCTCTTTTACCAGCATCAAGGAACCTCTGACAGACATGCCACAGTCTGCTCATACCATTTTCTTCAGCAGTCCCTCATGTCTAATAGTGTGACTTAATTTCTAAGTCTGACACTTCTAGAAGGAAAAGGCAATTTAAGTGATGTTCTAAGCAACCTTGGCTTCCAAGAAGTAAACAGTAGCTACCAAATGGAGGGCAATCAAAGATTTCTGGTGGTTGTTTCCATTCCTTAACAGTAGTACAATCATGTTGAAAAGTTAAAAAAAAGGAAAAGAAATCTTGAACATAGCCTCTGGTAACAACATAGTCCTTGACTATTCCTTGTGGCAGTGTGGGGGAAAGCAGGGGTACAGTCAACACTGAAAGGGAGCATATTCTAGGAACACAGTGTTTATGGCCTCAAGAGTTCAAGGGAAGATTTGGTTGGAAGATGTGCTGTTCTGTGCTTATATTTAAAATTCCCAATGGTAAATTTAACATGACCGGAAAATAAATGATCATTCACACTTTGCTGAACACCCTGGGTTAAGAACTGTATTTGATCATCACCTATTAAATGTGGTAACAACTTTCAAGTCTCTGGAAGTCAGTAATGCAGTGTCATAAGTAACAATATAACAAGTATTAAGTTAATAGTATTTGGGAACTACAGAGATAAATAATCTGTCTACTCTGCTTCAATACAAACAGATTTTAAAGAGCCATAGCTTTATGAGTAATAACAACATTGCTGTCTTTTTCTCATGGTAGAAGACTTTTTTAAATAGCCAGAAGTGGTGAATTTGACAGTAAAGGACAAGAAGAGAAAGTTCTCAGACCTGAACAGGAAAAAATGGTGCCTGGACACTACAAACAATCTTCATGTGCACTGATCGGACAATAAGTGAATGGGTAAATTTCTTTTCTCTATCCCATATTCTGAATCTTCATCATTAAATCACTGTAACTTTTGTAATATAATATTTAGTAAAATTGTGTATGCAGACAAGGACCCAACACACCCTAGAAAAGGCCCTGCATTAGGGAACTGGGCTATGGAAAGCATTATGTATCTGTTTCTGCACTGTGTGGCTATATAAACTCTGACAAGATTTTGTGACATTGGCTCAATACATAAGGAACTTAAATCTAATGGCAGATGAGTACATGCTCTTTCTGTCAATCCACAGACCACCTGAAATGTTGCATAAACTAGCGTCTCTTTTTATTTAATCAATTTTATTTTTTAGTGGTTTTAAGTTCACAGAAAAGTTCAGTGGAAAGTACAAATAATTCCCACATATTCCCTGCCCCCATGCCACAACCTCCACAACTATGAACATACTTGCACCACAGTGGCACATTTGTTACCAGTGATGCACCTTCTCACACATCATCACCTAAAGTTTATAGTTTACATTAGAGTTCACTCTTGGTGTTGTAACAAACGGATTTTAACAAATGGATCATGACACGATCTACTCTTGTAGTATCACACAGAATAATTTAACTGGCCTGAAAATCTCCTGTGTTCCACCATCCTCCCTAGCCACCCAACCTATAGCAATAATTTATCTTTTTCCAGTCTCTATTGTTTTGCCTTTTCCACAGTATCATATAGTGGAAATCATTCAGTATGTAGCTTTTTCAGATCTTTCACTCTGTAATATGCATTTAACGTTACCCCATGTCTTTTCATGACTTGATGGTTTATTCCTTTTTAGCACTAAATAATATTCCATTGTCTGAATATATTAGTTCATTTATTCATTTGCATATTGGTTACTTCCAAGTTTTGGAAATTATGAATTGAGCTGCTATAAACATTCATGTGCAAGTTTTGTATGAACATAAGTTTTCACATCATATGGGTAAATATTAAGGAGTGTGATTTGCTAGGTTATACGGTAAGAGTATGCTTAATTGTTGTTTTTATGTAAAGATGGAGTCTTGCTCTGTCACCCAGGCTGGAGAGTAGTGGTACAATCATGGTTCACTGCAGTCTCAAACGCCTGAGTTCAAGCGATCCTCCTCCCTCAGCCTCCCAAGTAGCTGGGACTACAGGCACACACCACCATGCCTGGCTAATTTTTTCAATTTATTTTTTGTAGAGACAGGGTATTGCTATATTTCCCAGGCTCGTCTCAAATTCCTGGTGTCAAATGATCCTCCCACAGTGTTGGGATTACAGGTGTGAGGTATATGCTTAGTTTTTTAAGAAACTGCCAAACTGTCTCCCAAAGCATCTATACCATTTTGTATTCCCACCAGTAATGAATGAGAGTCTCAGCTGCTCCATGTCCTCAACAGGATTTGGTATTTCTTTAAAAAAGTAATTAACAAAATATCTGTATTTGAAAAGTGTCTTAAATAATACTGTACATATGTTTGGTGACTAATATATATGTACTGAATAAAACTATAATACTCTAACTGATGGATACACAGCATATATTATTCTTGTATCTTTTCCTAGAAAGCCTTGGGCTACTCTAAATCTGTAATACGTATTTCAACTTCTCTACTTACATGTACTATATTATAGCAATTTCTATTGAGTTATAATCCATATTCACTCTCCTGATTTGCTAAAGTCACAGAGGCTTTCATCCCTAGTTTCTAAAGTGCTAATACTAGTTTTTTCAGGCTTGTTTTTAACTTTTATTTTAAGTTCAGGGGTACATATGCAGGTTTGTTACATAGGTTAATTGTGTATCATGGGGATCTAATGTACAGATTATTTCATCACCCAGGTAATAGGCATAGTATCCAATAGGTAGGAGTTGATTTTTTGTATAACGTGTAAGGAAGAGGTCCAGTTTCGATTTTCTGTATATGGCTAGCCATTTACCCTAGCATCATTTATTGAATACAGAGTCCTTTCCTCATTGCTTGTTTTTTGTTGACTTTGTCAAAGATCAGATGATGTTAGCTGTACAGCTTTATTTTTGGGCTCTCCATTCTGTCGTATTGGTCTATTATCTGTTTTTGTACCAGTACTATGCTGTTTTGGTTACTGTAGCCTTGTAATAACAGTTTGAAGTTGGGTTAACATGATGCCTCTAGCTTTGTTCTTTTTGTTTATGATTGCCTTGGCTATTCAAACTCTTTTTTGGTTCCATATGAATTTTAAAATAGTTTTTCCTAATTCTAATTCCTTCCCAATTCAAGCAGTTTCCCAGCTTCCCTGTCACATCCTTGGGTAATTTCCCACTGCCACTCACCGCATACTAGACATAATTAAATATTTTAATGTGCACTCACTGTTTTTTTTATGGAGTACAGAGTATATGAAGAACGTATAAATAATGAATATGTTATTTAATTACTTTGATTCTGGTCTCGTGCCTTAGAAAAAAGGAACAAATTACTATATACTGCTCTCCTATGCCTGTCAAGAAACTCTGAATCCAAGTTATAATACAACATTTTATAATTACTCTTTCCTTTTTAGTTCACTTCTATTTGTGCTTCTGCTATTCTCCCAATTCCACTGTTGACCAGGGAATTGTCTCTTTTCTTTACCCACCCACCAGAACTTGAGATTAATACCTAGGATTCTTGTTGAAATTATTTTTCATTCAACCCTAAACAAAGAGATTTCTGGAATTACTGGATCATAGAAAACCCAGTCATTTTCTCTGCAGAGTCTTTGTTCCATGACCTTCTTACTTCTTCCTTTTGTTTATTCTCTACAAGGTGCTCTGCATCTATCTGTTGGCATTTTCCCTCTCTTCTGCTTATAACTCCACAAGGCACTGTAAAAGTTTCATTTGATTGATATATCTTGCCCTAATGCTTCTTCCTTATACTGACAAGTGATACATTTTTACTTCTGCTTTCCAGCCATGATGGAGAACTAATACCAGACTAACCTTCCTATCATAAACTAATAAAAAATTGGACAAAATATATAAAACAACAGTTTTCAGACACTGAACAACTGTGTTGTATAGGACTGGGATCCCAGATCATGGAAAAATACATATACACAAAATATCCATCCACACACACTCGCACACACACACGCACATGTGTTATCTTTTGATAACTCTGTTTTTTTCTGGTGACGTAAGAAGAGAAAAATTCAAGAAGAGCACAGGATCTTGCTGAACTGGGGAGACAGAGTTCGGCATTTAGGAAAGTTGAGGTGACTGAAATCTGTGGAACAGGGTCCTGAAGAAGACAAAGACACACATAAAAAAAGCTCCAGAAATCTGCATGAGAGTTCCCTGGGCAGCATACTAGGCTGGGCATGCACAGAGCAAAGAATAACTGTTGGAGAAAGAAAATTTGCTAGGGAGCTGTTATCTTAACAATTACCAGAACTTGATTAGAATTGAGTGATACTTATTGATCCAACCAGCTGAAGTAGAAAATCCTCACTGAACATGTGAGACATCCAGCAGAGACCCAGGTTCACACCTTAGAAGGCTAAAGTAGCTCTAGAAGATAGGCTACTCTATAACCATCCTAACAAAACTTAAAAACAAACTTCCAGAAGATCAGGTTCCAGAAGATCAGGTTGATCTTGAAGTAAATTAACTGACTTCCAGAAAATAACTGAATTCTTATTAAGAAATAAGAACAAAATTCAAACAATTGAAAACATAACATTCACAGTGTCCAGCATTCAATTAAAATGTACTGACCATGATAGAACAAAAAAGTGGGAAAAAATAAGTATATAGAAACTAAACCAGAAATAACATGTCTTAGTCTGTTTTGTGTTGCTATAACAGAATACCACGGACTGGGTAATCTGTAAACAATAGAAGTTTATTTGGCTCATGAAGGCTGGGAAGTTCAATATCAAGGTGCTAGCATCTGGCAAAGGCCTTCATGTTACATCATTCTACCGTGGAAAGCAGAAGGCCAGGCAAGCATACAACGCAGAGAGAAAAGTGGGGCTGGAGTCTCGAGATAACTAACCCACTCCAAAGATAATGGTATTAATCTATTAATGAAGGTAGAAGGTGATTAGATCAACAGTATTACAATGGCAATTAAATTTCAATATGACTTTTCAAAGCATAACATGACATACGATGAAATTAGCAGAGAAAAACTTTAAAATGGCTATTATAAATATGTTTAAGGCTATAAAGGAAAACATGAACACAACATGAGAGTTGACAACTATAAAAAAGACCAAAAATAACTTTAGAGCTAGAAAAAAATACAATATCTGAAATGGAAAAAGTCACTGGATGGCCTTAGTAGCAGAGTAGACACTGAAGAAGAAAAAATCACTGTACTTAAAGGCAGAATCTATCAATACAAAAGAACAGAGGGAAAAAAGGCTGAAAAAATTGAATATAGTCTTAGTAATCTGTGAGATAATATCAAAAAATCTACTATTTGTATAACTGGAATCACAGAAGGAAGGGAAAACTATAATATTTGAAGAACTGCCAAAATTTTCCAAATTTTATGAAATATATAAACCTACAGTACTATGAAGCTCAGTGAACCCCCAAAATGGTAAACATAAAGAAAGCCACTCTAACACCTTTCAAAATCTAATTGCTAAAAACTAACAATAAAGAGAAAATCAAAGATGTAGCTAAAGGGAAAAACAAGACATAGTTTAATCAGAGAAATAAAGCATTATCACTGGCTTCTCACTAGAAAAAAAAGGAGTACAGAAGACAATAAAACTATAATTTTAAAGTGCTAAATGAAAAAAAAAACTAGAATTCTATATCCCATAAAATATTCAAAAATAGGCTGGGCATTGTGGCTCACGCCTGTAATCCCAGCACTTTGGGAGGCTGAGGCGGGCAGATCACTTCAGGTCAGGAGTTTGAGACCAGCCTGGCCAACATGGTAAAACCCTGTCTCTAATAAAAATACAAAAAAATTAGCCAGGTGTGGTGGCGGGCGCCTCTAACCCCAGCTACTTGAGAGGCTAAGGCAGGAGAATCACTTGAACCTGGGAGGCAGAGGTTGCAGTGAACTGAGACCAAGCCATTGCACTCCAGCCTGGGCAACAAGAATGAAACTTTGTTTCAAAAAAAAAAAAAAATAGTGAAATAGAGAAAAAAATTGTTTTATCAGTAGATCTGTAACATAAGAAATGTTATGGAAAAGGTATTCAGGTTGAAGAAAACGGACTTCAAACATAACTTTATCAGTTTGTAGTTTTAAAAAAAGATACATTATGGTTTAAAACAAAAATAGTAATAATGTATTGTCAGGTTTATAACGCAGGGAGAAATAAAATGCATAAGATGATGAGAAAAGAAGGAAAAATTGAAATGCATATTAAAATTCATCTAATATATATGAAGTAGTATTATGTAATATTAAGGTAGATAGTGATAAGTTAAAAATGTGTATGCTAAATACTAAATAAATGTATTTAAATTAAAAAATACTTAATCACTCAGCTAATTTAAAAGAAGGCAGGAAAAGTGAAAAAAAGGACAAAGATCCAATGGGACAAACAGAAGACAAATAACAAGATGATGGACTTAAGCTGAACCACAGCAATAAATAAGTTAAGTAAAAGTGGCAATAAACATAAACATAGCAATTTAAGGTAAGGATTTTCAGATTGGTAACAAGGCAATACCCAACTACATGTGACCAATATGAAAATTATTGTAAATATGTTAAGACATAGATTGGTTAAAAGCAAAGGGATGGAAAAACACACACTATACACAAATCATAAAAAAAAAAGTTTGAAAACCAGAGTAGCTATAGTAATATCAGACAAAGTAACTTCAGGACAAATAAAATTATCAGAAATCAAAAAGGATCTTTCATAAATGATAAAAGGATCAGTTTATCAAGAAGACATAACAATCCTACATGTGTACATATCCAATAAGAGAACTACAAAAATATATGAATAACCGACAGAATTGAAAGGAGAAATGGATATATTCACAAATGTAGTAGAAAATAACATTCCCATCTTAGTTACTATAGAAATGAAAAAGGAAAATCAGTACATATTTATAAGACTTGAACAACACTATCAACCAACTTGACCTAAGTGACATTTATAAACCACCACATCCAACAACAGCGTAACATACGTTAGTTTCAGTACACATAAAAACATTCACTAAGACAGACTATACTCTGGGTTTTAAAAGAAGTCTCAATATACTTAAAAGATTGAAGTGAAACAGATATATTTTCTAACCATAAAAAAATTAACGAAAAATAAATAATTAAAACATTTGAAAATTTCAAAATGTTTGTAAAATATACTTCTAAATAACTAATTAAGCAAAGAAATAAAAGATAAACTAGAAAATATTTAACTGAATAATGATATCTTAAAAAGCCAAAGTTTGCATAATTTCAAACAAAGAAGTGCTCAAAGGAAACTTTGTATTTTTAAATGCTTGTATTAGAAAAGAAGAAAGGACTGAAATTAATGATCTAAGCTTAAGAAACTGAAAAAAGAACAAATTAAATCCAAAGGAAGTAGAAAAAAAGAGTGAAAAATCAATAAACAAGCAAAACAAACACACAAACAATGGAGAGAATTAATAAAATCAAAATCTGTTTCTTTGAAAATATTAATAAAATGGGAAAACCCCTAGCAAGAAAAAGAGAAAACACAAATCAATATCAAAATGAAAAAGGTGACATTACTGCTGATCCCATATAAATTAAAAGGTTAAAAAAGTGTATTATGAAAAATCTGATGCCAATTAACTTTGACAACCTAGATGAAACTAATAAATATACTGAAAGGCACAATTAAAATCCTTCCACAAAGAAACTCCAGGCCCAGATGATTTCACTAGTAAATTCTACCAAACATTTTAAAGAAGGAATAACACTGCTCTTAAAAATTATTTCAGCAAATGGAGAAAAAGAGAATACTTTGAAACTCCTTTTATGAGATTAACATCATCTGGATACTAAAACCAGAAAAATACATTACAAAAAAAGGAAAAAGGTTTTTTTCTTCACAACATCCCAAAACTTTAAACCAAAATGGTCCTCAACAGATGAATGAATATAAAAAATTATAGTATACTCATAAAATAGGACACTTCTCAGCAATAAAACAAAGTTTATTCATGCAATAACATGGGTGAATCTTAAAAACATTATACTGAGCAAAAGAAATTGGACGCAAAAGAGCACACTGGGATTCCATTCATGTGAGGTTCTTTTAAAATGGCATAACTAATATATTGTGACAGAAATCACAACAATGGTTGCCAGAGAAAGGAAGTGTGGGATGATGGTGGTGGTAGTGGTGATACTGATGGTGGAGGGTATACATGAGAAATTTTTCAGGTGATGGAAAAGTTCTTGCTTGGGGCAATGGTTACATCCATGTACATATTTGGCAAGGCTATGAAAATGTACACTTAAAATATGGCATGGTATTATGTAAACTCCAACTCAATAAAGTTTTTTTAAAAAAAACTCTAACTTGTCATTTTATTATAATTACTCCGTTTTGGAGAAACATGGGTAGGGAGATTAAGTAAACTGAGAAGTCATTGACATAGTCTGGAATCTGCTACGAAAAAAGTACATATTAAATTCTTAATAAATACTTTACAACAGACTGTCCCTGATGCAGAAGTTTCTCCGTTAAAAAGTATCCAATTGCTTATTTGGATGACTGAGTTCCTAATCTAGAGAGATGATTTCTCCACACTAAAGGAGCAACACATAAAGAACTGGCCACCACATATAATTCACAAAATATGGATTCTTCAAGGCATATAGGATATTACACTCATATCTATTAAGTACCTCTCTAAAAGAATTAATATAATATTATTAAAACTGTGAACCAAAGATTGATTTCTCTTTCACTTTTTTAAATAGTTATGAGAGAGGTCGACTTTGTTTCAGGATCAGCAACTATAAAGATTGTACACTAATCAGGCAAAATTTACAACAACGTTAATTAGGCAGTTGTTTAATGAGATACATAATTGTTACTGTTCTCCAAGATAATTACACATATGCGTACGCTAGTCATATGAATGTCTCTCATTATTTTAGCAGACCCTTAGTATTCACAGATTTAACATTGCTGGTTCCAAGCATTCATGAGTAAGCTTAAAAGGTTTATGACAGGTAGTAATTTATAATTTTGTTGAGACATAAATTGGAATCAAGACCTGGAAGGTTTTCAATATGAGGCTAATCATTTAGCTATATCCATTTCTCAAGGTGTCTTTTATTCTCAACTCTTATATATGAGTTTTATAAAAGATAGGGGTATTTAGTAATGCAGGGTTTCTCAAAATTCTATGAAGTATTCTCTGTGAATGTCAATGGGGTTGCTGTATTATTAATCAACTTTTTTCTTTTAAATTTGAAATTTTGTCTGTTAATTTTTAAGTTAATTATTAGTTCTCTAATATCTACAATCAGTTGTGATCAGTGCAGACTGCCATCACATATTATACAAGTTAAATGTGTAAAGTCTGCCTGGATCTTTTTTTTTTTTTTTGAGACAGAGTCTTGCTCTGTCACCCAGGCTGGAGTGCAGTGGTGTGACCTCGGCTCACTGCAAGCTGTCTCCCAGGTTCACACCATTCTTCTGCCTCAGCCTTCCGAGTAGCTTGGACTACAGGTCCCGCCGCCACACTCAGCTAATTTTTTGTATTTTTAGTAGAGACGGGGTTTCACCGTGTTAGCCAGGATGGTCTCGATCTCCTGACCTCGTGATCTGCCCATCTCGGCCTCCCAAAGTGCTGGGATTACAGGTGTGAGCCACCGCGCCCAGCCAGTTTGCCTAGATCTTATTCCCCAAGACTTGAGATTTATTTGCTTATAGTTCCTCTGTCCCAATGTCTTCTGTCTGTGTATTACATCCCATAAATCCTTTCCTGTTAACCCACTAAGAGAATGACAGATTTCTCCCAAACCACACATGCTGCTATCAGAGTAGGTGCTCAGTAAACACTTACTGAAAAGCTATCATTGCATAGAAACTGACTCCCACTTTTAGTCAGAGGTCCCCACAGATATCTTGGGTGCTAGCTTTGTTGAGAAACCTGTGCCAGCTGGACTGGAAATCTTGAGGTCTGAATTACTACTTGCAAAGAACAGGGCAGGGATAGGTCTGAGATGGTTCATGGGAAGGGAGTGAATGCTGTGAAAAGACGTTCTAGATCCTTGGGACTTAGATAGACTGGAGGAGAGGTTCTAGCATTTAAGAAAGAAGGCAAGAGAACATGAAAGTTGGCTCAATAATGGCAACATGATTAAAACAGACAGCATTAGGCTTAGCTTAGGTAAAACTACAATTACAACTTATAAGGACTGACAAAAGATTCTTCCCTTACTACCTGCCTTATCCATATAGCAGGTAGCTATATAGCCAAGTTTTATTACAGCCAAGATTTATAGTAAGACAAGCACTGTTTAAGATGCTTTGGTTATACTCATAGTCTTACACTATGCCCTTGAGGCAATATCACTGTCCCCATATCACAGATGAAGAAACTGAGGCCTAGAATGATTGAGCAATGGTTCCAAGTATGTAGAGCTAAGATTCAAATTCATCTTTATGTAACTCCAAAGTCTGTGCCTTAAACCATCACATAAAACTTCCCATCTTGAGTATATCCAGTCTCTTAAACTGCTTGCAGAAAGGGGCTAAAAAGTGGGAAGACAATGAACATTTGAGAGGGCAGATGGCATATAAGTGAGGAGAAAGACCAGTGATGCTCAAGACTGGCGAGCTTTGCCACATGCTCTGGTTTATCGTCATCCGTACGAGTCTAAGTTACTTCACCTCCTGCTTGAGCTCCAGCCTCAATTAGAGGAAAACAAAGGCAAGGCTTTTCTTAAGCAGTAATGAGACTCTGAGAGTTTCCCATTCTGCCCCAGCCCAGGGCTGAACATACAGTGGTCATTTGTTGTAGGATAATGCCTTAAAAATTTATGAGGAGGGTATTTCCCCTCTCTTTTTGAGTGTCTGTTTATACTCAGAGTGATATAGTGCAGTACCTCAAAATGCAATGTCTAGTCCCCTAATTTGTAATATTATAGATTGTAATGAGTCAGTTAAAGAAGAAATGACTACAGAAAGAAAGTCCTCATGGCTAACTTTTCAAATACAGGCTGCTATCATGAGGTTTATTTGCAAGATAGAATATTGGATATTTTATCCCACAAGGTAGCACTGAATTTTTCTGAAGTCAACCACAGAGTTGTAACAGCTTAGTTGTTGAAAATGCTGTCTTAACCAAAAGGAAGGCAGTGTTTCTTGTTATCACTGGTAAATAAATTTCATTACTTCTACTGAGTATACATTCTAGGTTTTAATTTTTCAAAGCGAAATGTGATACGACACATTTTAATGAAATTTCTTATTTTGGTTTATGGTCTTGCTTAATTCTCATATTAAAATACACAAGAAAGTGATACTTTACCTAAATTTTAATACATATGCAAAGCAAAGTACCTAATTAAAGCAGATAGATGGTAAAGGTGATGAATTATTTGCAGGCAAATGATATCCAAATATAATTCCAAGATGCTCTTAATCATAAATCCTAACCATTTCTGGGGTACAAATGCACATATGCACTGTTTTCCATAACTAATAAATGCCTACACATTTTAACACCAGAAAACCATGCTGTCATTTTCACAAGGGGCATCTCTGCTTTTCAATGCGATGCCCTAATGCTGTACCTATTTACCCACTCATACCATTTTATCTCCAAATTTTCCCATAAGGTAAACCTTAGTTTCATCAACACACCCGAACACCCTCAAAGATGGTAGCTGTCTTTTCTGTATCAAGCACAGTATTGTCACAAAGCCATCAAGTAGAGAAAATCACCTATCATCATACTACACAGTATCTTAAAAAATACACATCTTAAAAGATGTGTTCTCAGAGAAGCTATGCCAAAAATCATTCCAGTACTGCCTAGATGTTGTAATGATCAAAATTTTACATGCTAAAATAAGAACCAAAATTGAATTCCTCTCTAGAGATCATTAATATGGGCCTTCCCAAATCTCATATTTAATCTAGCATCTAAGTTCCTTCTTGCTGTCTTCCTTATCTACATGTATAATAAATATCGATTAGAGAAAAATTAGATAAATATTTTTAAATAATAAATGAATAAAAAGGTAAGGGTATAGATAAATGTGGGCCTCCTTAGAAATGCCACCTTATTTCATACATTAACTCAGTTCTTCTTTTTAAAAACTTAATTTTTATGTCTTTTTGAAATAACCATAAGTAATTTCAAAGCTAACTGTTGACCCTTAACTCAAAGAACTAGAAAAAGACACTCTGTTAAGATTTTCTAAGTGGTTAATAATTTATGCCATTCTTTGCAAAAATAAGAGTAAAAATTAAAACAGAAAAGGCCGCCTAAAATCTTCAATACGGAATGTATTTTAGTTCCTAAAACAACAGGCTATATACTAAGTGAAGAATGCCAGTTCCCTTATATTCCTTCCTATTGAAAGATGAGACAATACAGAAATAATTTCCCTTACCAACAATCTATTTTTCCTACTGAGGGTGTAATAGAAATGTAGAAAATGAAATACAAAAGGGTCTCTATCCATTTACCTAATGGTTACTTTCTAGAAGCCTTCTAAGTTATCTCTTGAACATATTTTTACATGTATTTTTGGGGGGATCTTAAATTTAATTGAATGATATTTTTCAACATTTTCCCAGAAGAAAAAAAAAAGAAAATAAAGGTAACATATATAGTTTCTCCTTCTGAAGGAAAATAACCTAATAATGGTTAAGAAGGTAAAATACAAAGAGAAACTGTCTGCTATGGAAAGTTAATATTAACTTTCAGGAACACCAATTTTTTAAATATAAAACCCAAAGAATGCAGTTTTATTTGAATTGAGAAGTAACTGTAGTCTCAATTTGGCATTTCCCCCCACAAAGACACTAAAGTTTTAAGTGACCTGCACAGAGGCAGCTTGAGCTAGAACTCAGTTTATGAGTTTAGGAGAGCCAGAGAGCATCAGTGATTAGAATGAAAGTTCACAGCACCAGTGACTTTAAAAGGAAAGTGAAGCAGATAATACAAAAGCTGGAGAATCCTTCCAGTGAAGGTAGGTTGCATGATTAATAAAATGAGTCAAGGATTTTTCTTGTTTTCAATGCACCCTACAGTGTCACTATTTAATTTTTACATAGTGATACTGACTTAGATGCTACTCCATGAGGCAAGAACAGTGAAAACTATTTTCTCTTCATGTACACGTAATTCATATGGCCAAATAGAGTTTGGGTATTTTCTTCTGGCCCCTAAAACAGGCTAATAACTACAAATAACAGGCCATCTACTTAGTGTGGAATTGGTAAATGTCATTGCAGGATGACATTTCTTGACCTGATAGTGAAAGGAATCACTCTGTTAAGATAGGAACATTTTCACTGTAACAAATAACTAAATGTAGACTTTTGGAAAAATAGTAGAGGAAATAAATTTTTTAAAATACCAATGCAAAAAAACATTTAACAGTTAAAAACATTATTTTACCTACTCCCTGAACAAATTGGATGGCCCCACCCTCTGGGTGACCCTGGCTGGAATTGGTAATACTTATGGAGACCTCCTTGGGAGCCATCAGAGGCTGTTACTGAAGCAGAAGCAGCTCTTCCCTCGGTCCCAGGAAGTTAGTTAAAACACAGTGAGAAATGTCATCATGTTTGCAATATCTAGTTTGAAATCTGATGAGAATTGTGGTTCTGTGTCTATGAGAACTGAGCTCTACAGAGGTGAATGGACTGAAAATTAATAATTTGATGTTCTGAAATAATCTCATCCTAAGTAATATCTACTTGTGAAAGAATGTATGGGCCCTGTCCTCCAGGAATTTATAATCTTGTTTCATGTGGCTTGTCATTCAAACAGTTAAACAACAAAGCGAGGCAATTTGAACACAAGTGGGAGGCCTTTCTATGCTTTTACTTGTCTTTATCTCCCATGGTACTGATACAAACAGAAGACACTGGGTAGAAGAGGGTGGTTGCCTGGCAAAGGTCCCACCCTCAAGCCTGGAGACCAGCGGCCCTAAATGGGGACAACATTCCTGTTTTCATGCCCAAGAAGTTGCCTTTTGGCCCACCGTGCCCACTATCCTGTACCCATATAAACCAAAACCCCAGGCTCCAAAAGCTGACCAGCAGGCAAGGAGAGGAGGGGACAAGCAGATGGATGGCGGAACAATGTGACAGAGAAATAGAGAAGAGGAGCAACATTTGAACACTGAGAGGAGTTTGGCTGGAGGTGGTGGAAGAGGAGTTTGGCAGCTGGATGGCCAGGCTCCAGGGGAAGATCATCTTCCCACTCCATCCCCGCTGCCAGCTCCCCATCCATCCCACTGAGAGCCACCTCCACCACTCACTGAAATCCTGCATTCATCCTTCAAGTCCACACTCATCCACTGAGTCCGTGTGTGACCCAATTCTACCGGGACACTGGACAAGAGCTCAGGATACAGAAAGTTGTCACACTGGCCTTCTGCCCTTGCAGAAAGGCAGAGGGTCCACTGAGCTGGTTAACACTCAAGCCGTCTACAGACAGCAGGGCTAAAAGGGCACACTGTAACACATGCACACCTGGGCTCTTGCACCTGTCTGTCTGCATGCTCGCCCCACCCCCCACCCCCCAAACCTCAGTGGTTTGAGCAGCAGTGGCGATGGAACAGGCAAGCCACAACCCTGCTGTATGTCCTGCAAGGGGGATCAAGGAACCCTCCCGTTTCAGTACCCAGCACACTGTAGACATGTAACTACCTGCTGACCTAATATTATTAAATGGCTAAATCACTACAAGTCCACAATCTCTCATCTGAAACTCTTAGGACCAGATGTGTTTTGGAATTCAGAATTTTTCTGATTTTAGAAAAGTGATAGGTACATATTCCATATATTTATAAAGCACCTCCTGCAGGATATGGTACAGAACCCCACGGTCAAGCACATCAATATATCCGCAGTGGAAAATTGAACGTTCATATTAAGTGAGAAAAATGATTATAAATAACACTGTGAGAATCAGTAGTTCAGCTCAGATTTGAGTGCAAAATGGGTTAGGAAAAACTTGATTTGCTTAGAGATTTTTGAAATTGTAGATAACATACTGAAGACTTAAAATACAGACTACAGAAATGACAGGGGTTCAGAGGCTAGAGCAATCAACATAAGCTGTGAAGAGGTAAAGGTTAACCAGTATTAGTGAGGACTCACACTTTATTGGTTGGATGGGAGAACTCACTTGAACATACTGGGAGTACTGGGTTAGGTATGGTGGAGTCAGATCACATAGGGCTAGACTGAGAGTCCCAAGCCTACAGAGCCACCCAGATCCTAGGTGAAAGCAATACAGTGAGAGCAGAACTTGAGAAACATTAATCTGGATGATGACGATAATGATAATGATGATGATGACAGCTAGGTTCTCAAAGCCCAGGGGAATCCAGGATTTTACTATCAACAATAGGGAGTGAAGAAGGGGAAACAAAACCATGCAAAAAACACCAATGGACTGTAATCAAGTATGCAGAAGCTGCAGGTGTACAAAAAAAAAGAGAAGGAATAAGAATAAATGTAGGCTGTACACTTTACTAAAGGCTTGTGAGACAAAAGGATATTGTTTGTCTATGAAAGGATAGCCGTGTGGATAATAAAAGAGATTATTACTATACACTGAGTCTAAGAGTGAGGAGGATCATATTCTACCCAGGAAATCAGAACACAGATTTTTCAAAACAACAATAGAAGGAGAAAGGAATACCAGCTCAACTGAAGAAAGGAATGTATTACAGGGGCTGACTACAGGGAGAAGTGATTGTTCTTCAAGAGAGGACAAAGACTGTAAATTCCCTGGGTGGTGAGTGAGCAGCTCATATTACAGACATTGAACCAATTGTGAGGTTCAGGGAGGTGGAGCAGAAGGTATAGGACTGCCATGAACTGAAACAGATGTGTAAGAGTTTATAAGCCCCTGCAGAGGATCTTGACTGAAAAAATCACGTATGATTACAGGTAAAAGATCCAGAAGAGGTGGAAGCTGTTCATGTCTTGATAATGAGATGTAAGAAAATGGGAGGGGCTAAATGTTATCACCTGGAGGAAAAGATCACTGGTCTTGTAAAGATGTGGAGCAGATGCAGGTTCAGAAATAGATCTTCCTTGTTCACAGAGATGAAGCATCTTGTATTAAAGGGGAGTGACATGATCTTGGAATAGGAGTCATGTTTTCCTAACAGACCCAGAAAGGGTAACACATCAAAGAGAATATGCACCATCTGTGTATTAAAGAAAAAGGCACAGTTGTTTACTTTTGATTGTAGCCCTGTTTCTAAATGAATGTGGCATTTGTATGAAAGTTGCTTGGAGGAAAAAATGGAAAGATCATACCGGATATAAGTGACTTCAAAAGCTGTAAAAAATCTTCTATCACTTTTTATCCAAAGCAGCTTGGAATGATTTGCTGCAATCTCATGTTTAGCTCAAACCTGAGGAAACTGGATAATATAGGGTAGAACACAAAGGTTCTTAGAACAACGTGTGCAGGATTTCACAAATAAGTCTAGGTGCTATAAAGTGTATAGAAAACTGAGGCCTCCAATATGCATGGTAAATGGCAGATCAAGGAAACAGGCCAATAGGAAAAATATTCACCTGATAACAATTTGTGGGTGGAGAATTCTATAATGAGTATTATGTCACCATTAAGAACGAAAGTTTAATTTGTTAGCATGTTCAATAATTCAACTTTAGGACCCACTTTCCTTTTCTTCCCTTCTATTAATAATATCATTTTTGAACACAATACCATCTTACATTTAAGTAAGGTTTGAAGAAATATAAGCTTTTAAAAAATGAGCACATAAAGAATCTGAGTTAATCCAAAGTTCTGTAAAACAAAATCCAAGACAACTCTAGACACTTTAAATGTGTAAAAGTAGATGGAAATGATATTATTTTTATTTCTATCCTTCCTCATCCAAGATCTAAACATGTTTATGTCACCTCATATATATCTTAACATAGTATCATTAAGCCTTATGCATCAAAGTGACAAGTGCCCAGAACAATATATGATGTGTGGGTATGCTTGTGTGCACATGCGTGAGTGTATGTGGAGCTGGAAGTAGGGGAGTGATGGTGATGAGAGGCACTAAAATGAGGAAGTTAGAAGGAAGAAAGAGGATCATGAAAGGAAGCAGCTGCTACAAATACAAGGGAAAACGACAAGCACTAAGATTACAGGGCTTAAAAAATCTACTTGTAGAACTCATGGAGAAAAGTCTTAAAATATGGCAAGTGTCCATAAGAAAAAGGAGTTGTGACAGTACAAAGTATCCAATTTCTTTATTTTAAGATATCATTTTAGTTGAATCTGCATATCGTTCAAAACAAGAAGATGCAGAATATTTAGGTAACTCTTGTCAGTAAAAATGCCTCAATGTTTCTTTATTTCATAAAATGTTGAAAATAATCTACTTCAAGTACTTGGCTACAAATCTGTGTAACAGACCTTTAGCAGGGCAAGTTGGATAATGAAGTGAATTGTTCGAAGAAAATATGTGAACTTTACATTGTAACTTAATTTTTTTTTTTAACTTACCAGGAGATGACATGTGTATCTTTGAACTGTTTTGAAGAGGTTTTTTTTTTTATGAGGTCCCACCCACATGTGCAGTAGGGTCATATAATATCTCTATAAATAGGTTTCAAATGTCAATATGCACTGGTGTATGGAGCTTTGTCCCACAAAGATGTAAAAGCACCTGATGTGTTGGGAAATGATGGTATATTAAATTGCAGAAGGTGAGCATCTTCTGGGTACAATCCCAGAGGCTGTGGAATAACATAACTACTAAAGTCTAAGGTTATCCTCAACAACTGATGAATGAGAAGTAGCACACTTGCTCAGCCCCTTTCATTGATGAACCTAAAATGTTAGTGCAAGTAGTCCCTCAGGACTATGGAGAAACAAATGCCCTCCTTTTACATGAGGAAACAGAGTTGAGGTGAAAGGATTTCCCCCAAGGGTTCACTCATGATGGAGCTGGGACACAAATCCAAATCCATGCTCCTTGACTGGTAGGCCAGTGATCTTTTCAGTACTTGAAACCCATTGTAGGCTCTTGAGCTAGACTGCACAGGTTCTAATTCTACCTCAAATAGATGGTGGCACTAATGAAGTGATTAACTTTCTGAGCTTCAGTATGCTCATCTTAAAGGTGAAGATAATAACGGCATGTGCTTCACAACGTTGTTATGAGAATTTCATGAGGTAATATGTATAAAGAACTTACAACAATGCCACACATTTAGAAAATGCTAAATAAATATAAGCTCTAATTAGTAATGACATATGTTCTCTTGGTTGGTAGGCAGCAAGGAATAGAAGTTAAGAACCCAAATTCAGAAGCTGTATATTAAAGATGACCCTGGTAAAATTACTTAATCCTTGACAAAGATTCCTTGCTTGGCCAAACTTGAGTCTTCTGAACCTTCTTCAAGGCCCATCTGTCCACTTCCTCATAAAATCTGTGTTTTAGCAATCCCTGCTAAGTTAGTTTAGCAAGAATCTCCCACCCTCAATATATGATCATCCCAGATAGCTCATCAGGTGCTTCATCCTCCACTACCTCCCAGGTAATGTCTGATCACACTGCCCTGTCTTCAACAGGAATCCTGTTATGTTGGTTTAGCCAGAAGTTCCCCTTACCTCTGATGCTTCCTCTTAGTAATTTTTCATCCACTGACCCCTACTCTGCTCCTTTGCTATAAATGCCCACTTGCATATGCTGTATTCAGAATTAAGCCCAGTCTTTCTCCCCTATTACAAGACTCCCTATACCTATTTCTATGGTCCTGAATAAAGTTTGCCTCACTGTGCTTTAATAAAAGTATCACTGAATGTTTTTTTTCCTTAATACCCCTCAAAGCCTCAGTTTCCTCACTGACAGAAGGGAGAAAACAGTAATTTCTACCTGAGGGGTTGACTGTAAGGATTAAATGACACAGTTCATGTAAAGTGCTTGTAACAATGCCTACCATATAAGTAGCACTCAATAAATAATAGCTATTATTCACAATATAGTAATTCAATAAAAGCTTTAACTTTTTATCGCCAACCTAATTCCATCCTACCCTCACTTACTGTCCCCCTCTACCTTTCACTTTTCTTCATCTTCATGCCTAATAAAGAAGAACACAGCCGGAGATTTATGCTTCAATATTAAATATGGGAAGGAAGAATAAAAGTTTAAAGAGGATTTCACTTAATATATAAACAGCCAAATTTATCCAATACATCAGTGGATAAGAGCTCACACTTTGGATAGAGACAAAGGGGGGCACACAAGAACATTTTCAACTGGCCAGTATATCACTTAGTAGCATAGCAATGGTTTTGTTAAATGTCAAGCTAGCTAATAACTAAAGAACATACTTTCCTCTCATATGCTATCAGTGGCAGTGTACATTGGTACAAAGTATAAATTTATTAGCAATAACCATCAAAATTAAAATCTATGTATCCATGAGTTTTCACTTCTAAGGGATTCATCTGATTGGTATGCTTCCATATGCATTAATATTTATATTTGCAATTTCATTACTACAGCTGAATATAACACTGTTGCCCTAATTCTTAGTTTGAGATTTTAGGCATCTTTCCAGGAGTTAGTTAGGAGATAAATAGAATGTACTTGCCGCTGAGTGTTTTAATGGAGAAAGGACATCTTCACATTAGACCATGGAAGTGAATGGAATAATCATCAACAACTTTAAAATGTGCTCTAGTAACTGTGCTTATAATCTATTAATTTTCTATGACAGTGCATTTTACTTATCCTTGAGCATAATTTAACAGGCAAAAATATTTATTGACAATATCCCAATATCATGTTGTATTATGCTTGATGTCAAATTTTGATTTAAAACATCAAGCATCTTGAATATCCAACTGTGCTCTTAAAAAAAAAAAAAAAAAAAAAAGTTTGCGTTTGTAATCCCAGCACTTTGGGAGGCTGAGACGGGCAGATCACGAGGTCAGGAGATCGAGACCATCCTGGCTAACATGGTGAAACCCCGTCTCTAATAAAAATTACAAAAAATTAGCCAGGCGTGGTGGCAGGCGCCTGTAGTCCCAGCTACTCGGGAGGCTGAGGCAGGAGAATGGCGTGAACCCACGAGGTGGAGCTTGCAGTAAGCCAAGATTGCGCCACTGCACTCCAGCCTGGGCGACAGAGCGAGACTCCGTCTCAAAAAAAAAAAAAAAAAAAAAAAAAAAAGTTTGAATAGTCCTGATATACTAGTATAAGATAAGCTACATTTGTCCTAGGATTTCCTTTCTTTGTGAATAAAGAAAAGTATATGTTTTCTTTTCCCTAATCATTATTCTAGTAATCCAAAACCCCAGTACAAGGTAATATAGGGAGGACTATAGAATTTAGAGCTAAATGATATAGATTTTTAATAAATGCAGATCTAACGATCTATCCATCAATGTACTGAATGCCTAATGTGTGCCAGACATATGCTAAAAGGCAGCAGTAGAGGATTCAAATAATTAAGGCATGCTCCTATCCTCGATTGTGATTAGCTTTGAAAACCTGTATTCTTTCGGTAGTCTCTGAACTTTCCTTTGCCCAGAATCTGCTTCTGCAAATTATCCTCATAGCAGCTTGTGAATTGTCCTCCCAAAGTATAAGATGATGTCACTGCCCTTCTCAAACACCTTTGATTGATTAATCCACTCAATAAATATTTGAGCACCAACCATTTGCCAGACACTTTTGTAGATGCTTAAGACAGGGCAGTGCTGACAAAAAAATCCCTGTCCTACTGTATTCTAATAGGATAGAAAAACATTTATATATATATGTGTGTATACAGATATATATATATGCACACACATATATGTTAGTAATAAGATATAAAAGGGAAACGGGGGTAGAAAGTCTGTGTATGTATGTGTGTATGAACATATCTAGCTTATTCTTGTCTTCCTGTCTCTGATCACCTATTTGCTCTTCATGGGAATATCTTCTGCTTCTTCTCTGCCTACTAAAATTCTTCCTATTTTAAAAACCTACTTCAAATTACTCTCTCTCTTTGCAAAGCCTTCGCAGATTCCTAACTAGAATTAATGACTCTATCTTCTCCTCTGTATTACCATAGCTCTTTGTATGTTATTTTTTCCCCTTATCTGGCTGTTCATCCAAGGTTACTACAAGTTGAGTATCACTAATCTGAATATCTGAAATGCTCCAAAATTCTAAACTTTTCAAGCACTGATGTGACACTCAAAGAAAATGCTTTTTGGAGCGTTTCAGATTTTCAGATTAGGGATGCTCAACTGGTTAAGCACAACACAAATATTCTGAAGTCTGAAATAAAAAAATCTGAAATCCAAAACACTTCTAGTCCCAAGTGTTACCTGTATGGAGTGCCTAACACAGAAGCTGGTACATAATGTCCAAAAAAGAAAAAAAAAGTGAGTTGCCTAAGATTATAATGCTGTCCTAATCTTTTTGTTGTGAAAAGGGGGATTTTTCCCAATGACAAGTTACGTACACTGATGTCTGTGGCCTCTCTGCTCACCCTGGAGCAGATGTGTATATAAAGTTTATACATAGGGAGACACAAAATACCACCAGCAAAGGAGACCACTCACCTCCAAAGGTTCTAATACCCATTTACCTACCAATCCCCAGCATAGTCTCTCATTATTTCCCATAACTCACAGAATTATTTTCACCATCTTCATCAACCTACTCTAAGTCGTATCTACAATGCACCAGCTTTTATACTCAATATAAAAAATTGAGCTTTTATTGTTTCTTTTTGTGATTATAACAACAAATATAAAGAATAGGTCAGTTTTTAAGAGGAACTCACTTCATCCTTCTATTTATGGCTAGCATAGGCCTTTTTACTCAGGAACAGCTAGTGTTTTATTACAACTCTCAATATTAGAATAAATTGCATGTTGTTTCAGATAGTAATTATGTACTTAAAAGAGGAAAAGGGGTTAGATAATGTGCTTTCTGAGGTCCCTTCCAGCTAAAAATGCTGATTCTAATGCCTTTCTTAAAATAGTACTAACCAACTAGTCTGCTAGTCTTTATTCTTGAACTATTTCCCAGCTGCAGAAATATCTCCAGATGTAGAGTTATCTCTTTAAATATCTTTTGACTCATTGCAAAAATTCACTTCTAATTGATGTTCAATTTTACAAAGTGAATGTGGCTACAAAATGCAAAAGTCACTTAGCTCAAATGGGTGAATCACCTACGTGTGCAAAAATTCACTTCTAACTGACATTCAATTTTACAAAGTGAATGTGGCTACAAAATGCAAAAATCACTTAGCTCAAATGGGTGAATCACCTACATTTACATCTGGTTCAGTCACTTATGGGTTCAAATCTATCTACCTACCTACCTACCTACCTATCTTTATTAAATATTATAAACACTATTTACTACTTATATATTATTCCTACATTACATGTATTCACATATACATAGTATATAGTTTTAGTGATAAAAATTCTAAACAGAAAGATTACTAAGGCTTGTGATATAGCCAAAGAGAATGGACCCAAAGCTTTCGATCATTACTGTCAAGCGAATATCATTTCACTCAAGACTATCAAAGCCAATATTTATACACATCTAAGAATCCATATTCATGCTGCACCCAGGAGTTCTGTCTCTTAATGGCAGACCTTAATCTAGATTGATCCCAGATCTCAAATTAGATAAACATCAAGTAGGCACAGAAAACAGGATAATATAAGAAAGTCATTTATCTTGGGCTGATTTCCTAGTCTTAACTATTTCCCTAAACTCAGGGTCCTATCTGAGACTTCTGCAGGTTCTACAAAGGAATTAGGTAGATAATTATGAGTTTAGTTTGGGCATTATTCAATTTCCTTGCTGCTCATTGTTTTCTTCGGTTGTGTATCATGTCACAAGAAAGTGGACAGGGATCAGAAAAGGAGCATGGTGGACATAACATTGTTCACTGGTATGTTGTTCCCCTCTTTCTAGGTACTTGGGAGGATTATATAACCCATCCCCCTTGAAGTTATGTGACGTGCTTGAGCTAATAGAATGGGAGAAAGCAAGATAGCACTTGAAGCTTCAAGTATTTAATTGCTGGGGGTCAATTCTCCAGCCTTCCTTTGCCCATTCTGGTGACTGTGGAAGCATGTGTTGACATGAAACTGCAACTCTAAATTGGCAAATGGAGAGAAGCTACCCAGGAGCATCACCAAAACTTGCAGCAGACCTCGGGCATGTAGCAATCAACTTGTTGTTTTAAATCCCTGAAATTTGAGGATTGTTGGTTTCTTGCAGCATAACCAAGCCTATCCTGACTGATACAAGAAGCACCTAATTTTGCCACATTTAGCAGCTCAGGAAAACTTTTTTGAAGAATGAGTTTAGGTTACTGGTTTCTGAATTACAGCTGGAATTCAGCTATCTCTCTTTTACTTATTTTATTCATATTTGGCTACAATTCAGACCAGGCAATTTCCCAAATATTATTCTTGAAGTAGAGTATCTTAATAATTACTAATTCATTATTCTATAACTATAGCCTCCCATTGTGCAACTAATATAAGCTTATGGAATAGTGATGCTCATGCAAAGTAGCCAAGTTACTTATCTGTGACGGCTTTTTAAGTTTTACAGGCAGGGTGAACATCCAAGTTTGCCCTCTGGGAAAATCAGAACTAAAAAGACTTCCTTTGTGCTTTGTCAATGGCTAGTCTGTCAATTCCATACCGTACTCCGGCAGTATGGGGCAGTTTCAATCTTCTCCTTACATTTCCTTAAAAGATTTTCTCTACTCATACATATTCTGGTTCTTTCAGGAAAGTCATTTTGAAGAAATCCATCTCATTCTCTAAGTAGTAAAGATCTAACATGTCATGTGAACAACTTTTGGCTGAAGAATTTCATCAGTTCAGGTACCATAATGTGGACAGCAAAAAGAATGCTTTAAAAAAAAATCTGGCCGGGCACGGTGGCTCATGCCTGTAATCCCAGCACTTTGGGAGGCCGAGGTGGGCGGATCACGAGGTCAGGAGATCGAGACCATCCTGGCTAACACAGTGAAACCCTGTATCTACTAAAAATACAAAAAATTAGCTGGGCATGGTGGCGGGCACCTGTAGTCCCAGCTACTCGGGAGGCTGAGGCAGGAGAATGGTGTGAACCTGGGAGGCGGAGCTTGCAGTGAGCTGAGACTGAGTGGCACTCCAGCCTGGGCGACAGAGCGAGACTCTGTCTCAAAAAATAAATAAATAAATAAAAAATAAAAAAATAAAAAACATCTGCATTCTGATTAAAGTTAAGCTTAGCTGTATTCAATAGTAAAATTTTGACAATAAAAGATGAAACAGGCATGAAATGTCTTGTCATTTCAACTTGCCTTTGGCGTTAAGTCTAGTGCCTGAGTTACATGGTGGTGTGTGTTGAACTGTGTCCTCAAAAAAGTTATGTCTAAATTCTAATCCTGGGTACCTGTGAATGTGGCCTTATTTAGAAACAGGGAATTTTTGCCAATGTCATCAAGTTAAAATGAGGTCATGCTGATTTGGGTGGACCCTAGTCCAACGATTGGTGTTCTTGTAAGAAAAAGAAAATGTAGTTATAGAGAGGAAGAACACCATGTAAAGATTATAAGCCAGGGAATGCCAAGGATTCCCAGCAACCAACGGAAGCTAGAAGAGAGGCATGGAAAAGATTTCCCCCCAGGACCTTGGACACCTTGCCAACACCTTGATTTGGGATTTCTGCCTCCAGAATTGTGAGACAATAAATTTCTGTTGTTTTAAGTCACCCAGTTTTTGGTACTTTGTTAAGGCAGTGTGGAAATATATAACATATGGTAATATATTTCAGTCACAGTATTTGCTAATGGTAGTAATATGAGGAAAGAAACCCCCTTTGAAGGCTGACTATGCAAAACCAGGGCAGGACATGATAGTCTACAGTTGAGAGAAATAAAGTTGAAAGATTCCACATGGGAGACAGCTTCAACGTGAAGCCTCTAAATATTTAACAAATATAATTATATTTGAGTAAATTAAACATTTAAATTTGATATAAATGATATATCTTGGTAACCAGACTTTTAAAAGATGACAAATGGATACAAGGTAAAGATTTACAAAAACTGGCTCTTAAAACTATGGCATTTTGCTAACTTTCAAATCTTAATTCTAGTTAAAAATTTCACAAACATTTGATTGTCAATATATCAATTATGAAATACAAATACTTCGCACATTTGGTACTTTTCTTTTGTACTTAAGTTTCCTTTTGGTATCACAAATAGTAATTCTTGTTTCTTATTTGACTTTTTTTTTTTTTTTCAGATTTACTTTGACAGTATTCCCAGCTGTTACTTGTTTCACCTTGTCACTGGGAAATCTTTTCTTGATTCTGAATTCTGCATTTACTTTATAGATCTGATCTATCCATATATAAAAATTAGGAAATCCTCTTTCTCCAAATATTATTTATCCAAGTAACTGCAGTCATGACAATGCATAAAGAAAAAAAATCATTGTGACATAAAAATATTAATGTATTAACCACCTATAAAATGAATCTTCCCTCTCATAGCCTTCCTTAATTAATTCTTTCCTATTAGCATTAAAATTTTACTTTCAGTCTTTCATTGGTCAGCAGATGTTATGACCATCCAATGACATATAACAATCCAATGCAAATATAAGGTAAATGAATTATAAAGTGACATTACAAACCTTGCAAAGATTTGCTGACCTCTATTGATATTTACCCAGCATTTTAGTTTTTTATTTTCATGTTTCAAAACATTCTGGATATATGACAACACACAGAGAGCAAAGATTGTATTTTCCAAAAACTGCTACAGCATTATTTCTAGTCACACAGACTTTCCAGAATACTGCCACTCCCCCATTAAGAACTGGAGTTTACATAACCTTGCCTTATGAGTGGGCCTTTGTAGTTGCTTCAACTATTGAAGTATGGTGGAAGTGATCTTATGGTAACACAGCTTTCACTTGCCTCTCTCTCTGGGAACATGCACCTCAGGAGTCCTGAGCTACCATGTAAGAAGTCTAGCTAGTAGGAAGCTACCATGCTGGAGAGACCATGTAGAAACACTATGAAGAAAGAGATCCTTGGGCAGTGGTAGTGTAAACTGTTCCAGCCCCCATCTGTTTGTGTTTTGTTATCCCAGGAACCAAACAAGTGAGTGAGCATTCAGATGACTACAGCCCCAGCCACCATCTGACTGTAACTTTGTGAGAAACCCTAAGCTGCCCAGGGCTTCTCATAAAGTACCCTGTCAACTTCAGAATCATAAGAGAGAGTAATAGAATGGCTGCTGTTCATTAAAGCCACTAAATTTAGGTTGCTATACAGCAATAGAAAGCCAAAAGATTTTTACACCTGGAAGTAGAGTGCTGTTATAACAAAACCTAAAACATGTGGCAATAGCTTTAAGGCCAGGCTACGGGCAGATGTTGGAAGGGCCTTGAAGAGACAGCTAACAGAAGAAGCTTGATGGCTTTCAAGGAGGCTGTTGGTAAAAGCTTAAAGGAAGATCAGGAAAATATTAATGGAAGCTGAGAGAAAGGGAATCCTTATTATATGGTAGGGGAAAGTTTAACAACACTGTTGGCTGTGGTTCTGTATACAAAATTATATATATAATGAATTGGTGAATTTATCTGAGACTTCTAGGCAGTTTGATTGCATTAGTCCATTCTCACACTGCTATAAAGGACTGCCTGAGACTGCGTAATTTATAAAGGAAAGAGGTTTAATTGACTCACAGTTCCACATGGCTGGTGAGGTCTCGAGAAACTTATAATCATGGCAGAAAGGGAAGCAAACACATCCTTCTTCACATTAGCAAAAGGGGGAAAAGCCCCTTATAACACCATCAGGTCTCATGAGAACTTACTACCACAAGAACAGCAGCATGGGGAAACCTGCCCCCATGATTCAGTTACCTCCCACCAGGTCCTTCCCATGATGTGGGGATTATGGGAACTACAACTCAAGATGAGATTTGGGTGGGGACACTGCCAAACCATATCAATGATATAAGTGCCAACTATTTCCTTTTAACTATGACTGAGATTTTTTTTTAAAGGCAGTGTTTAATTTTCAAGGTCTATGTAACCCAGAGGTTAAATCACAAAGCGTGACCCACCCCCCAAGAAAACCCTGCAAAGATATTGCCAAATTAGAGATATAAACCTTAAGAATCTACAAGGAAAGGGATCCTAAGGGGTTGGGATCAGAATGGAAGGATCATAATGTTGACTTAAAATGTGTGTATACAGATCTGCTAAGTTGCGATTCTCGATTCAATGTATTAGAGTGGCTGGTAGTGGCTGTAACAGGTTGGCTGGCTGACGGAAATCCAGGCCCAAAGGTGGACTACACTAAATGAAGGTGAAATTCTAGAACTTCCTTGATATACTGTAGAAGAAACAATCCAAATGCTTAAGGAGATAAAATGCTAAGGTGGATTTCTCTTATGTAAGATCTGTTTAATCACCTGTTAACTTTGTCCCCCAGAACAGTAGTCACCAATCTTTTTGGAACGAGGGATGGCTTTCATGGAAGACGATTTTTTCCATGGAGCAGGGTACAGGGGATGGTTTTGGGATGAAACTGTTCCACAAGGAGCATGCAACCTAGATCCCTTGCATGCGCAGTTCACAGCAGAGTTTGTGCTCCTATGAGAATCTAATGCCACTGCTGATCTGACAGGAGGTGGAGCTTAGGCGGTAATGCTGACTCCCCTGCTGCTCACCTGCTGCTGTGTGGCCTGGTTCCTAACAAGCCACAGACCAATACTGGTCTGTGACGTGGGGGTTGGGGACCCCTGCTCCAGAAGGTCTTGAGAACCTTCCCTTTACCAATTCTGTGTGAAATATATTCATGAGGGGAGATCTGGCATCCTTGAGAACTCACTGGTGGCTATTCTCTGTAGGCCCAACCATGGCAGTGGGCTAAATTAAATAAATGGTACTTTGTGGTGACAAAGGCCAAGTGGCAGCATTTAACCACCAGAAACAAGGTGGATGTGGTGCCAGACTAACCCTGAGAGAGCAATTTCTGTTTGAAACTCTAATTACCTCATTAGTATAATATGCCTTATGTCTCCAGGTTGTGTTTGAAAAGCTTCAGAAGCTCACATATATCTAACATTTCTCCCTACTCTACTTTTACTCCATATCCTCACACTTATTCTTACTTTCAAGATTACTAGAGATATATTCATTCTCTAATTCTGTTTCCAAAACTTATCTTCCCTAAACTCGATCCATTTTTTTTGAGACGGAGTCTCGTTCTGTCGTCCAGGCTGGAGTGCAGTGGCGCAACCTCGGCTCACTGCAAGCTCTGCCTCCTGGGTTCACGCCATTCTCCTGCCTCAGCCTCCCAAGTAGCTGGGACTACAGCTGCCCACCAACACACCCGGCTAAGTTTTTGTATTTTTAGTAGATACAGGGTTTCACCGTGTTAGCCACGATGGTCTCGATCTCCCGACCTCGTGATCCGCCTGCCTCAGCCTCCCAAAGTGCTGGGATTACAGGCGTTAGCCACTGCGCCCAGCCCCTAAACTCCATTCTATTTTATTCTCCCATTAGTTCCAATTTTTCCATCAGAAATAATTTTTAAAATTGGAAAATATATGATCATCACTTTGGTTGCAAAAAGAAAAAAAATCTATACAGTGTGAAAAATACATAAAGTTAAAAAAAATCATGTAAAAAAGAGTTGATATGAAATATCGGTAAAAATAGCAAGATACTGTCTTATAACTGATTTTGATAATCCAATCCAACTGGGTTTGGCTATTTCCTTTTACTATTGTTTTGAGTCTTATCACTTTGGTTTCCCATTTTTCACATCAGTTCAGGGCACTAGAAACATCAAAATTTATGAATCTTGACTGTAAAAAAAAACTGGCAATAAAGGAACATTAATCTAAAAGAAAGGTTAAATTTAAGGGAGAGAAACACAATTGGGTTAACAAAATGAATATATCTGTATGGAAGATGTCTGAATTGACAGGGATTTTAAGATATTAAGAAGGTAGCTAGCTGTGAAATATATATACGTACATGCAGAAATGGAAGCAGACAATTTTAACAGAAGTACAGGGATTAGAAAAGAGAAGGTTATAAATTCATTTGGCACTTACCACCATGGAGTATTCTGTTTTGTTCCAAACAACATATTTCATAAGGAATATTAGAGTTCAATGAAATAGAGGGACCAGTGAGCGGAGATAAACTACATTATATAAGGAATGGTTAAAAACAATGGGAGTACTCAAGCTGGTTTAAAGAAAACAGTGAGAGCAAGTCAGAGAACTTTAAATATTTGAAAGGCTATCAAACAATTCCTGAAGGATTGTTGCAAGCATTTAAGGTATGTATAAAAAATGGGTTAAAAAATTTATGTTCTTAATAAATGTAGCTTAAAATGCTTAAGAGATTTTTAAAAATTACAGAGATCATAATCAGGGCTAATTAAGTTGAAAGGAAGGTAGATTTCTAATTTGCTAGCAATTTGGCTTACCAAAAAAGAAATATAATGTCTTGTGAGGTAGTAAAATTGTTAATCGAAGTGTTTTAAGCTGAAAGCTAGATGATGACATTTTAGGAATGATGTTGGAGGAAATTTCGCCTTGAGTAGAAGACTGAGCTTTGAGACCTCAAATGGTGTTTTCAACTCCAGGTCAATGACTCACACTTGCCATGTGCTGCCCTGACAACTCTCTCCCTTGTCAAGTTAGGTAACTCATAATATCACATTCCTCACTTAAAAAAATAAAATAAAATAAAAAACAAACAAAAAAAACTATATAGTGGATTACTTAATTAATTCCAGTTAGTTCATTACGGAAAATTACCATTAAGGATAGGATTACTCAGTTGCAGAGGACTTTAAAATAAAACTACAAACTTGAGTCACTTTTTGTGAGCCAAAAACCATATTCATTATAAATCTCTGTATACAAGAACTATAATGGGAGTGGAAGTAAAGGAATATTCCCTCAGGACAATATTGGTGTTTGGACTTATAATTACATGCAGTATTTTGGGACATAAGAATAGAAAACAATAAAATATAAATCTACTAGAGCAAAAATAGAAAATAATAAAATTAAGTATAAATTGTTATGTAAACTAAGCAAATATAAAAATAGACTTACAAAAGATAAACTGGAAGCTATTAATTGTAATATCAATAATTAATTCAGTCAGTCTTAATGTCAGCAAATCTAATGGATGTGCAGTGGCAATTCATTGTGGTTTAACTTGTATTTACCTGTTGACTAGTAATGTTGAGTATCTTTTCATGTGCTTATTGGCCATTAGTACATTTTGACAAAAAGTCTAAATAAATATGCTCATTTTAAAAAACTGGGTTGTCTTCCTATTGAGTTGTAAGACTTCTTCATATATTCTGGAAGCAAGTCTTTTGTCTGATACAGCTGTTGCAAATTTTGTTTGCGTCTGTGGTTTGCCTTTGCTTTCTTAATGGTGTCTTTCAAAGACCTATTGTTTTTAATGAAGTCTGACTTATCACTTTATGTTTTATGCTTTTATGTTCTGGTACAATTAATTTGTGTGTGTGTGTTTGTGTGTGAACATGCACACATGGTTTAACAATCATACATGCAGTTCATATCTCAATGGGAAATAACCATAGTAAAATTATTCAACTTTGTAACTACCTTTTCTTAAATATCGTCTGCAATTTCTCAGGTTCTACTTAAAAGTAAAGCTACTATTTTACATCATTTTTCTAAAAAGGTATTTGTGGTTTCCATGGGAACATATATATCAATAATAAGGCATTTGAAAGGTTTCAAACAAATACATTTACATGCCATTTCTTTTCATAAACAGGATTGATAGTCTAAAGAATTACTGCCCACCAAACATCTGAAATTGAGATTATTACCTTCCGTAAAGTGCCAATGAATTTAAACTAGGAATCGTCATAAAGCTAAGCATTTCCTTTTAAAGGCCTTTAACGAATCTCATTCTTCTAAAGTTACTTATATATAAGAAATATTCCACCAATAGCAAGTTTTATATCTCATCTAATATTCATTGTGGTTAAAGCTACTGTAAAGATATCATTCAAAGTGCATTTTAAGCTTCTAGTATCTATGTGAGCTGTCAAACAGTCATAATTGTAAAGCAACCATAAGACAATGTTTAATTCACATTTTCAAGAAGAAAATCTTGTTCTTAAAGCAAAAAAAATTTGAAGTAATTTTTGTTTACTGTTTTTTAAATTCAATGTTATGTGGATTGGCAACAGTTCTTAAAATGAAATTCAAAAACATCTACAGAATAGTGTTGGTTACTCTACTGTGTGTGCTTTTATAATAACCCATTAGCTAATTAATCAACTGTATAGTTAAATGTTACACTAAGAATCACATGAAGATATCTATGTAGAACATTGGTCTCAAGTAATACCAATGTTACTTTTCAATTTACTATCTATATTATTTTCCCAGGGGAAAAAAAGGAGTCAAGATGTAGAACTGGAAGAGGCCTTAAAACTTAACTTTATTCCCAATGCAGAAATGCTTCCTATAACCTACAAGAACAGACAACAGCTAAGTCCAATACACAATGTCAGTATTACTTTGCAAGGTATCAGCCCCACTATGAGACAAACCTAATTATTGGAAACATCATCTTTACACTGAGTATTCTAGTCTATCTTCTTGTGACCTTCATCTTGCAGTTCAAATTCTGTTTTTTAAAATTACAAAGAAAAACTACATTCCCCAATCAATGGAACAATAAGAAATCATCATGGAGTTTGGCTCTGTGGAAAAAAACAGACCAACTATGTAGTCATAGAAATGTTAAATGAACTCAAGCTGGATCTCTTGAAAAACCAGAAGTAGACCTAAAAGAACTTAATGTATTTTAAGTTCTAAGTTTTTTGTTTGGTTGTCATGGAAACTCATCATAAAGAATGATCCTGAATATGAATGTGTAACATATGTATTTTGCTATTAATCAAAGGTAAGGAAAGTAAGTTGTGACACATTAGTAAATACGAAAATGATTTTAACAGGCCTAATGCGTTTTGAAAAATATTTGTAAAGCAGTATCAATGACTGAAACTAAAGTACCACTCCAGATAGGTCCCCTCACCTAAAACAGTGGGTCTTACTAATTTTTCAATAATAAAATGCTGTTTAGTCTGAATTTGAAGATTAACATTTTAATTTACATGCCCAAGAATAAACATATGTCATTGTGGGGCTTATTTCTCAGAATAAGATTCCCAAGTAGCAAGTGATATATGTATTTAAAAAGATGGAGTTACCAACTGGCTAACTGCTTGCCCCGAACACATTCCCAATTAACATATACCAATAAATCAAATAATGGGATGTTATTATACAAAAACCTAAGTGGATGAACATCTTGGTTTGAAAATATGTTCTAAGAAATCAGCAAAATAAATTTGGAATCATGCCACAACCAGAGTTAGCCAGTGGTGAAAACATGTCTGTGGGGAAAGAGAGAGGTAACTGTGTCTATTATCATGCCTAGGAACAGGAATTTGAACTATGGTAGCTTGGTAACTGTGGAAAGTTATCTGACAGGTTGCCAAGGCAAACTGGGTTAAAGATACCCATTCTCATAAGAGAAAATGGAATAATTTGGTGGCTTCAGATAAGGTCAACTCAATCAAGAATAAACCGTGGTCATGACTACTTTGCCCGAAACAAATCCTTTTGAATGTTTTTCCATTTATTCAATTATTTTAAAAAATTTCTTAATTTTTGGCATTTTAAATCTTTCTAAACCAAAATGTATGTTGAATTTAATCTAGTATTTCTAACTTATTTGAAAACTGTAGCATTTTAAAGAGTTATGGTCTTTTTTTAACCAATGGCCTCTTTAAAAACATTTAAATTAATTCATTCTAACATGTCTTCAAACTTAAGATGTTTCTAAATGAAAATTTTACTTTAACAAAAAATTTTAATTCTAATTTCATTTTATTTAAGGCATCTGAATAGATTCAAAAACAAAAGTGTGCTAAGTATTCAACAAATTTGTTCTAAGACACTTCCAGAGTACTAGAGAAGTATCTTAGAGAGCTTTAAGCACCAGTGAAGGCTGGTGATTTGAGATAAAAGTCTAAAAGAAAGTCATGTTTTCAGTGGAAACACTATCACAGGAGTTAATATAACACCATGATTATTCAGCAACTCAACGTCAGGCTACATGGGCTTAAATACATACTGGCACAAGGACATAAATATGTGAAATCAGGACAATCCTGGACATTCTAGGATATAAGATTACTGTGCTAATATATAAGGAGGGTATCAATAGCCTGAGATAAGTCTCCCCACTAGTATTTTCATGTAAATAGGTAGTAACAGATATTATTAATCTGTAATCCTGGGAAGTAAGGCAGGGACTGAGGTCTCACTGGCATTGCTCATGTCACAATATGAAGATACCTACCTTGGGTAACTCTCCATTTAGGGCAGCCTTAATTTAGCCTAATTTTTATTCTCTCAAAAGTCCATATATAGACCAATTTTCTATTTTTAACATATCAAAAGAACTTCAACAAAACCATCTATGCAGAATAAAATCAACACTAAATGGCCAAATTCAAAGTTAAATTAGATTGATACTGGCTATTTAAAATTTAATTCACAAATAATATGTCCATTCTCTGACAACAATTTAGTTGCTTTGTTCTAAACATTTATAATAGTTCAGCTCTCTGTCCAGACTTTTTTGTATTTACAAAGGAATTGCTCCCAACACATAAACATCGTGCTTTTATATAGAAAGCTACCAGGTGCTCTGAAATTGCGAGGCAATTTCATTGTGCTTGGCTTACCACATTAAACTTCAATGGTTCCTTATTTCTGTTTACTCATGAATCAATCAAGTCTTGATTAAATAAAATGACAACTAAGAAAAATAGATCCTCCACGCCCCCATTCCAGAGATAAAAGCATGGCACTACATTGTTATCATATAATCTGAACATCATCAAAATTAAGATTTTCTCAAAAGTCACTGTTGGCTGGGCGTGGCGGCTCACGCCTGTAATCCCAGCACTTTTGGGAGGCCGAGGCAGGCGGATCAAGAAGTCAAGAGATCAAGACTATCCTGGCCAACATGGTGAAACCCCGTCTCTCCTAAAAATACAAAAATTAGCTGGGCCTGGTGGTGCGCACCTGTAGTCCCAGCTACTTGGGAGGCTGAGGCAGGAGAATCGCTTGAACCTGGGAGTAGGAGGTTGCAGTGAGCCAAGATTGCACCCACTGCACTCCAGTCTGGCAACAGAGCAAGACTTGTTTCAAAAAAAAGTCACTGTTAAAGAGAATGACAAGCAAAAGAATGGGAGAAAATATCTAATTATATAGCTGACAAAGGACTTGTATCTAAAATATATAAAGAACTCTCAAAACTCTTCAATAAGAAAACGATCCAATAAAAAATGAAAAATCTGAACAGATATTTCACCAAAGAATATAAACTGATGACAAACCAGCAAATGAAAAAATGTTCTACATATTAGTAACTAGGAAAACTGCAGATTTAAACCTAAATAAAACACAACCACACAACTATTAGAATATCTAAAATTTTTAATGTCTGACCATAAGTGTTGGTAAGGGTATGAAGCAACTCACTTGGCTCATAGGAACATAAATGGTAAAACCATTTAGGATCACAGTTTGGCATTTTCTTAGAAAGTTAAACACATACTTACCATATGATCCATTCATTCTACTCCTAGGTGTTTACCCAAGAAAAATGAAAGCATATATTTACACAGAGACTTGTATATAAATGTTCATAGCAACTTTGTTTGTAATAGTCCCAAACTGGAAACAAAAATGTGCATCAACAGATAAATATATAAACAAAATGCAGTATATTATAGCTACGTAAAGGGAATGAACTACTGATCAACACAACATGAATGAATCTCAAAATCACTATGTAGAGTGAAAGAAGAAAGACCAAGAGAGAGAACATATTGTATAAAATTTGTGTAAAATTTGAG
Organism: Homo sapiens; assembly: GCF_000001405.40. NCBI lineage: Eukaryota > Metazoa > Chordata > Mammalia > Primates > Hominidae > Homo > Homo sapiens. The sequence goes on along the minus strand of NC_000003.12, from coordinate 111,154,244 downwards.
AATATGTAAACTAATACATGACAGAAAGCAGATCAGTGGTTAGTTTCCCAAGGATATGAAAGAGAAGCTGGTAAAGGACTAGAGGGGGGAGATTACAAAGGGACACTAGGACTTTTGGAAATGACGGATATGTACAATATTTTGATCGTGGTGATATTTGCCAAGTATATTTGTGTGTGTGCGCAGTACATGTAAAACATATCAAATTTACATTCTTAATATGTGCAGTTTACTGTGTGCTAATTAATACTTTAATAAAGCTCTTCTTAAAAAAGGAAGAAAGCTGTCATCACAGGTACTGCCCATTCATCACTAAAATGTAAGCTCCACAGACAATTTTTTTCATCTTTTATTAACTACATATTCTCAGTGCTAGCACATATTAAATATTCAAGAAATAGTTATTTGATAAATGAATGACAAAGAAAAAAAACTAAACACTACTATGAATCAAACAGTGTAGACTCCATATATTCTAGTTTCATTTCAAGCACTACTAAGCTTATAATAAAGGTATGGATACTTCTAAAAGAAATATATGCTAAGTTTAAATAAATCAAAGTAGCATCAGCTTTGTTTTTCTACTGAAATAATTTCACTGCTTAGCATCTTTAATATTTTTATCAGGAATTATACAGCTTTTTAAATAACAATAACAGCAAATGCACAGTAATTACTGTGTCAGGCACTATTCTAAGGATGTAGCATATATTAGTTGATTAATCCCTATAAAACATTATAAAACAAGCTTATCTTTTTCTCATTTATAAGACAGATAGCAAAAGCTTTGATATGATGAAGACATCAAACTTTTATACTTCACATGTTACATCTGTATCTCCTTTAATTTTATGATTCTTGACAAATATTTTTAGATATTTAGATTTTTAATATTTCTTTTTGCTTTGAAGGGCCCTCCCCAACTAAAATTAGTTTATAAATCATTATTTTATCCAAGCTTTGTTGATCACAAAATTTTTTTTCCACCTCAGAGCAGAATAAAGCCCCACAATTCTTTCACTACTTGTCTCAATAATTGCCACTACTTACTAACTGAAGGCAATATAAAAGACGAAAACATTTTTCTACTCAAGGGGAGAACCATGCTAGAAATACTCAATCCTTATTTGAATAATCCACTCAGTCATATACTTCTCTATAATTTGGAAAAAAATGTTAACTCTTCTATCATATTCCTCTCTCCCTTCCCTAATCCCAAAGATCATAACTACTCGTAGTGTCTGGAAACATGTTAAAATATTCAGATCCTGGGAGAAAATAAGACCATCAATGATTACTAACAAAAGCAGCCTACCTAAAAATTATTATTGGAAGATGGCAATGATGTATTACAAAAATGACTTTTAAAAAGATATAATGATGGGTTCAAGAAAGGTTTAAATGAAATATGGCCTGATTGTAACTGAATACCTGGAGAGACTTTTCTCTTGAACTTATATCCTTAAAACCACAAAGTTTAGCAACATTTGAGCTCCAATCATAATTGTTTTGCTTTTCTAAATCTTCTTATAACATAAACCAGTGGAGATACATGATTCATCTTACTAAACTGTTTTGGCCACAGATTTGGATACCATGGAGCAATGCACATAAAATTCATGCTGGAATCAAAACAAAATATTTTCACATCTACTTATAAAACGTTTAGAGGTTCATCACAATTTTGTCCAATAAATAAAAAGACAAAAGAATAACAATTTGCAGGAAAAAATGGCTTTTTAAACACTTGAAAAGATGGAGAAACCCACCAAAAGATTGCAAAATTACAATCATATGTACATGCCATTCCTATCAGATTAGCAATAATCAAGTGGTATACATATACATACTATTGGTGAGGTTGTGGAGAAACAGGTATTTTTATATATTATTGGTAGAAGTGCAAAATAGTACAATTCTTACAGAGGATTATTTGGCAATATCTATCAAAACTATAAATACATTTACTGTTTGATGTAGCAAGATAAAATTTAAAAATTTACCCTGCAGATTATACTTGCATACATACAAAAGAGCATATATACCAGGCAATTCATTACAGCATTATTGGTTTATTAAAATCTTTTGACATTACAAACTATGTAATATACACGCATTACAATACTACGTAGACATAAAAAAGATTGAGAATGCTCTCTGCATCTCAATAATAAAAGATCTCCAGTATATTTTAGGAGAAAATGGCAAGATATGTAACAAGGTATATGTATATATTACTTTTATACAGGGGGGAAATAAATTAAAATGCACCTGAGTGTGTGTGTGTGTGTGTTTTCTTGTCTATGCTTAAAGAAACAGTGCCAAGACATAAATTAATAAAAGTGGTTATCTGTAGATGGGGGTAGGGTAAATAGGTATAGGAATGAGACCTTAGAAAACACCTCTTTATATTGTTTTGTATGTATTATCCATACACTAAAAAAATGTAAAAACATTCTTTCTCTACTAACACTGTCATGAATATTTACAAACATTTACTAAAGAATGCAATATACTATAGTAAATTATTGGAAAGAAATTCAGTTTTCTCAGATAGTTAACAGTGCTGACACACTGCATAACCAGTATGACCAGCTTAACATTCCAGGCCAGTGACTCAGGTGTTCAATAGATCTCTATTTTCTTATGCTAAAAGGCTACTTACAGAGGTGGGGAAAGGCACTGCAGAAAAAACAGAAACTACAGAAAATATAACAAAAATAATATTCACTGAGAAGTCTATTACAAAGATAACTGCTAACATTTAAAAATATTTCTATAGTCTCTTTTTCTCTGTTCTTTTTCATACATTATATATTGATATCTCATACTTGATACAGTGATATTATAGACACTGACATTAAATATACTGAAATATAGTATCTGTGATATGGATATTATAAATGATGCAGAAATTTTAACAGATTATAAACTGAAGAGAATATAAAAAAGGGCTTGATTCCTTTACCTACTCATTCAAAACCTGTTTATCGGAATACATAAGGTAATGCATATGTTTATTTGCTTGATTTAGTTATTCCACATATATTAAAACATCACGCTGCATGCTGTATATCATAAAAATATACAATTTTGATCTGTCAAATTAAAAAAATTATCAGGTACTTATATGTGCCAAGCACTGTGTTATGCACTAAGAATATGGTACTAAACAATAGTGACATGACCCCTGCCTTCATACTGCTTACAGTTTACAACAGCAGTTCTCAAATTTTTGGCCCCACGACCCCTTTATGATCTTTTACATCTTGAGGACCCCAAGCACTTTCACTTACAGGAATAACAGCTATCTATATTTATCATGTTATTCATTTAAACTAAGAGTTTTAAAAAATTTAATTCATTTAAAAAGAATAGGAAACCTATTACAGGTTAATATAAACAGTATCTCCTAAATTTTATAAACCTTTTAATATCTGGGTCAAAAGAGGAAAGTTTGATTTTCATGTCTGCTACAGCATTCAGTCTACCGTAATATGTTGTTTAGTTGAAGTATATAAAGAAAAAAAAAAGCTTCACGCAAATACATTAGTTGGAAAAGGGAGACTATTTGAATAGTCTTCAGATAATTAGAAAAATACTTCTGCAATACTAAACTAAAATGTTACAAGTGGTAGTTTCTTAAGGTTAGCTGCTATGTGGAACCTAAAAACACACCAATAAGCTTTTTATATTCTGTGTCATTCATACAAGTACTTTATGCATATATTACATTTCATCACATAGAAAAATTACACACACATACACAAATATACATATTTGTGTATATATAAACCAAATGTCTTAAGTCATGAAAACTGACATGTGTTCTTATACATGAAATACTGTTCATAAAACGGTTTTAGGATTGTTAAAAATTAAAAATTTACCAAAAATCATCTGACAGATAACTACTGTGAAAATAGGTATCAGGAGAGAAAATCTCTTGATAGTTCAAGCGATTGAAAAGCTTTTATTAACATGATATGTCAGCACTGTAAAAATAACTTCAAAAGCCTCATTCCCCATAATATTGCTGCTAGACTGAAATTACTATTATCATTCTCAGTAGAGTCAAATAAATATCCATTTCACGGAATCTCCTGATCATGATTTCTAAGATTAAATACTATTTTAGCTGAAACACAGAATATTCTAAAAGACTTACATTTTCTTTCAGATTTTTCCATATCGGAAATCCAACTATATTCAAAATACTATATATGTTTTCCTAAAAAAGTTCCCTAGATCATTTTAATTGGTTTGGAAAATAGTTTTCACAATGTTTTTAATTCTTCCAAATCAAGGCTAAAAAATAGCATTATTCATAGAATGCAGTGTTTTCAAAAATTTTAATGCAAGGAAATTCTATACTAGTCTTCAATTATTTCATATCAGATTTAAAACTGAATGACATAAGGAAGCCCCTCACATGTATTCCCCTGAAAAATCACAATATGCAAGGGATAAAAAGGAGAACTGTCATTTGCAGCAAATAGATTATATTCCTAAGAAATGTAAAAAAAAAAATAAAATGAGAAAGCATTAGAATGAATAAAAAATTTGATAAAAGAGGCTGCATATAAGATTCATATTTTTAAACAGGCATTTCTATATGCTAATAGCCAATTTAAAAAGTCCATGGGAGGAGGGTGGAGAGAAATCCCAGTGACTATCAAAATGCCTAAAGTAAACCTAACAGGAATGTGGAAAATACGTACCAGAAAAGAGATTCTACACACACACACACACACACACACACACACACACACACACACACACACATCCTACCAGAATAGAGGCTTATCTGGTTTCTAGATGGGAAGAAATGACATTATTGTAAAGTTGTCAATTCTTACTAAATTAATTCAGGAGTTCAATAGAATTTTTATGGAATCTGGGAAGGTAATTCTGAAGTAGACAGAGAAAAGAAAAGTCAAGAAAAATTTTGAAAGAAGAACAGAGATAAGGGAATTTACTGAATATCAAATCATATTATAAAGCAATAGTAATTGAAACAGCAGTATCTTGGTTTAGGAAGAGAAAGACATAGCAATACAACAGAATTAAGAGTTCAGAAACAGACCTAATATGTATGAGAATTTATTTTAGGATAAAAGTGCTCTCAAACCATGCAAAAGTATAGGTAATTCAGAAGTATTTGGACAACTGGTTATCCCATTGGGAAAAATGGGTCTCTACCTCTTTATCAAGTTTAATAAAGTTTCAGATTAAAATGAAATATAAACCATAAAACTATTAGTTTTCTAAGACTTTTTTCTACATTCTAGTTCAAGGAGAGAGAAGGAAATGTAAGGAAGCCATTTCAGACAATACAGAACTTCCAACAAATACAAGCAAAGAGACAAACAGATTTTTACTACATAAAAACGTACAATTTTCTATATGATACTATAAGGTTAAAAAATAAGAGATGAATATAATACAAAAGATTACTATCCACATCAAAGAGTTCCTAAAAAACTAAGAAGCAAAGTTCAAAAAGAAACCAAAAATCTGAAAAATGATACAAAAAGATAATTTACAGAACTATTAATACCTATAACCAATCGATCATGAAAAGCAGATCAACTTCATCCAGGAATCTACAAAACATTTTAATGAGCTACTTTTTCAGTTATCTAACAGGCAAAAAAAACAAATCCAGACCAAAACCAAAACAAAACAAAATACAACAACAGCTCCAGCTAAGAATTTTATGACATTTCACACCACTTGTCAATTTCATTTATTTGCCAAGAGATGAGACTACACTCTTTATGTGAGAACAAAAGGTCTGAAAACATGGCACATCTTCACCATCAGGACACCTAACTGTGTAAGATGACAAAGCTAGTGCCCACTGACAGTGGGCCCATGTGCCAGGGAATGCTCCTTCCTGCCCCATTCTTGGACAGTAAACTGACTATATGGTCAGCTGAAGAACAAAAGCTGAGAACATCTTGGCAGAAACATTCCTTTAGAATTTTTCCACCAAATTAAATCAATGAATTGATGGGCTAATGATTTGCCTTATTCAGGCTGAAGATACAGGACATATTTTAGGAGGAAAGTATTATAGACTATGCCCCCAGAGGTTATACAACCCCAGTACAGCTTAGAGATCCAACATGTTGTATGGGTGATAGAGAAAAAGACAAAACAAACATACAAACACAACCACTAAACTTGAGAATCAAAGAATTCAAATATTCTGATAGTTTACAACTTTCCCAAATACCAAATACAGCACATTAATCCAGGTATAGAATACAAGATAGAAGCACTGAATCAATACTTTCACATGAATTAACGTGAACTGATTCCAAAATAGAATAAAATATAGTACACTCCAAGGAAAAGAAGCCCTTCATGCTACTCAACAGATATTCATTTTCTACTTTTTATTTTACAATAAATCTGTATGTCAATAAAACTGTATTAACAGTAAGTCTTCAACAAGTATTTAGTAAAAAGCCTAATATAATGTTGATTTGTCTTATCTATACTGGCCATAACTTCTTGTTTGTTGACAAAATTTGATCTCTTAAATGTTTCAGAGAAATGACTGAGCATGTTAAAACTTAGGTATTGCTATGTAATCTTTAATGCATAATGACTAAACAACATTTAATGCATAATGACTAAACAACACTTAATGCATAATGACTAAACAACATTTTGAAAGAAATAATACAAATGGCTTAGTATTTTTTAAATTGTATCTTACATTATCTTAAGTGTACTCATGAACACATACCTGAAATAGGTCTTTCTGAGGCAAAGGTGGGGATCGTTCTTCATACAGAGGAGGTGGTTTATGTGTGGGTGGAAGGTCAATCCTGCATTGCAAAGGTTAAAATATGTGATTGTCACATTTAGGAAAAAAAAAAAAAGCAAAAGAAAATCAAGGTTCTCATAAGTTTTGAGAATATTTTCCTCATATTATATAGATAATATTTACTCTAGCCTACCTGCTTAATTCAGTTCTTACATTGCCATTAATCTATCAAAGATCAAAAATAAAAGTAAACATTGGTGTTAAAGGTTGCCATATGGAGAACCAATCACATTTAAAGAAGGAATTAAAATAGAAGAATTGAAATTAAGTAATCCAGTATATGACTTTACTTTAGTGCATGTTTTAATATTTGACTATGTCTATCAACATTTTAGAGTCTCAATACACTTTCCTCCAAAGTGTCATGAGAAATGTTTACACTGTATTTTAGAAATACTTCCAAAATTGATTTTCAAAAGCTCTAGTCACTATTACAATATTCACCAATTATATTTTCAACGTACAGACCATTATAAATCTTGCCATCTGAAATAAACAAAATAACCATTACATTTTTAGGGAACACATTTATTTTTTCCAAAGTTACATGAGCTATCAGAAAATCAACATTTTCATATATTTTAAATATAGTTTACTTATAACAAAGATAGTTTTAATATACCTTATAGCTCTCTGCATTTTACAAAATTTTATAAATATAGTCTCATGCTTTTGAAGATCACAGATAACATTTTCAGTACTTGTGCTTAGAAAATCAAAAAGTTATCTGTATTAAAGGATAAAGGGAATGAAAGCTATAGATCCTGAAGTAATAAATTCTCTGTGGTCTAATAATGTCTCAATGAGCATAAACTAGTATTTTAAATGATTAAAACTTAAGTGATAAATAAAATGGTTACATTAATTTGTTAACCTACCAGTAAATTGTTTTTGAAATTATAGAAAAACCAAGATAATCTGGGAATTAAGTTAACCACATGCTAGTCACTCTTTTTTTTTTTTTTTTTTTGAGACGGAGTCTCGCTCTGTCGCCCAGGCTGGAGTGCAGTGGCGGGATCTCCGCTCACTGCAAGCTCCGCCTCCCGGGTTCACGCCATTCTCCTGCCTCAGCCTCCCAAGTAGCTGGGACTACAGGCGCCCGCCACTACGCCCGGCTAATTTTTTGTATTTTTAGTAGAGACGGGGTTTCACCGTTTTAGCCGGGATGGTCTCGATCTCCTGACCTCGTGATCCGCCCGCCTCGGCCTCCCAAAGTGCTGGGATTACAGGCGTGAGCCACCGCGCTCGGCCGCTAGTCACTCTTGAAAGACTGAAGCACTCCAGTCCCACAAGTATTATACTGAAAGAGCATTTTATCATCTTTTATTTAAAATAATTGTTTTTTCTAATCCAACGAAAATCACAGCAAATTTCTAGCTCCAAGGTGCCATAGGCCATTTAGGTGAAAAAAATGAGGCTCATTGAGATAAAGTACTTGTTCATGGTCATAGTACTAATTTGATCATGACAGAGCTGTAACTGACACACAAATGTCTTTGATGCAAAGACTAGTGCTATAATTGTGCCAAATTAGAGAAGCAAAGACATATACAAAGCATTTATGAAGACAGAACTATATTCTTTGAAAGTCAACCTTATGTCCCAACATAAAAACATTAATAAACCACATAAGAAATAATGCCGTTTGTAAAGAGCTTCACAGTTTATAAAATATTATCTTATTCTACTATCATCTCAACCATGTGAGGTAAGTAGGAAGAGCATTATTCATATTTCTCAGATGAAGCAACAAAGCTGTTGATAGAATTAAGAGAACTGAGACACTGGTCATCTGATTCTACAGCAAGGTGCAATTTCTGCCTTACAACTCTATCTCAATGACTAGGTCAAAAATATTGCTTATTCTTTAAATAAGAAGATGTATATTTTATAAGTCACCAAAAAGAGTATTTTTCTTAAGAAAAAATTTTTAAAACTCAATGTATTTAATAACTTGATAGTTCAGTTATATCTATACATAAGACATGCATATACAATATGAAGAAGCCATTAAAACTTCAAAGATATTTTTATATGTCCTTCGGTTACCACTTCATGAAAGGCTTACATTTCTATTCAGAAGGCAGGACAATATAAAGTATTACTATGTTACCCTTTATAAAGATGTCTAATATGCTCTAGGTGAAAAATGTAAAGCTGTTCTATACCTCTAGCAGCCCCTTGAAAATGTTCATTTAGCAAGATATAGTTTGAGATATTCTGATGAAACCACGGTCATCTAACAAAGGCCTAACATTATCCTTACTTCTATCCCTTAAGTTCTTTATGAGGAGCTGTAAAGGTAAACATAAAGATTGGACACATACTGATATTCATAGTTGAACAAAGGCAAAAAAGTTACCTACACTTTGTCAAGATAGGATGGTCTTTTTTTTCGAGGAGTCAGCAGCACAGTCACAAAGATAGCAATGATGAAAAGGGCAAGAACAGCTCCAATTACCGCTCCAGCTACAGCTATGGAAGAGGTCTGCTTAAATGGAACATCTGTAAAGTAACAAAAATTAGGCTTTTCAAATAATCTTAAAAATAATTCTTGAAATTGCATACCTTTTCTACAATGTGCAAACTATTTGACTGAAGTATGTTATCCAAGAGCCAGGTTAGAGGACCCCAAATTTCATTCATTAGGTTTAGTGGCATTATGCTAAAACCCTTCCTTCTTTCTTATATTACTTTAATACCTCAGCTTAACTTTTTAAAAATTATGTAAATATCCCCAAACATCACCAAGAGAATATATTCTCGATATGTAAAGAGTACCTGGAGAAGAAGAGAGAGAAAAAGATGAAAGTAATTTTAAGTTTGTACTCTAAAAGGTAATTTTAAAAATCAATATTCTCTAATATAAACGACCAGTAATACAGACATTTAGCACTTTTATTCTATTAAAATAAAAAAATTTATTAACAAAATTGAAAAACTTCAAGTGCAAAACAGAAAATATCCCAGATCAAAAAAAATTGACATTGGACACTGTAAAATTTGAAAAATATTTTTAAATATTAATATTAAAACAGGACTTGCACAAAATTTCCCTTAATTCATGCACATTTAATACAAAGTGCACTAAAAATAGCTTCTCTACTACAACATTTAAATAGAAATTCTTCCTATCTCCTGGCCATAGACATATGTCATTTCTGAATACCAACTTCTCTTTCCCACACTGCACCACAATTTTTTAAGAAAGGATTTAAAAAACATATTTGGCTGTTAGCATTTCACATTTTTCCAAAAAATTGAATTACAATTTTATGAACTCCCAAATAAGGGAATGTACTAAAACTATTACAAGTACTACATATTTTCAAATGTTAAGTATTAAGGAATGTAACAAAACAATCTTTACGTGTAAGTATTACTTTGACAATTTCGCTATATTAAATCCAGTAACTACATTTTGTGGAATTTGTGAATTACAAAGTTCCTTCACACATCTGATTTTGTTTTTGTCTTTCTTACCAATAAAAAAAGATACTGAGATAATATTCTATAAATAAAGATATTGCAGCTCTGAAGTTAAATAATCTGCCAAGACCATTCAATCAATGAATAGTAGAGAACACAGAGAGAAATAAAGTTAGGTTGGAGCAGGGTAGAAGCCTCCACTATTACCCCTTGTTGGAAGAGAAGAATGTTTTTGTTAACATATATAACGCCGACTAATGAAGAGGTCTCAGTTTTACTTAAATTGACATAATCTTCACATATACTCTTAAATAACTGCAATAATTGTTGGGACCCAGACACGGCAAAGTTACAGAACTAGCACTATTGGTTTTGAAATATGTTTCATCTACTTACCATGATAGTATTCCCATATAAATACATATTTATAAGTATTTTCCAATTGTTTTTGTTTAAATGTGGGTAACATAGTTTAGATTGCCAAAAAGAATGTTTTACTTTCTTTCAAATTATAAAAATGTCTTTAGAATACTAACAATCCTAAGTTTATTAATGGCTCATTTTGTTTAGCTCATTTTGAAATAAAAATCTTACAACCAGTAAGTCCAAGTCACTCATTTCAATAACGTTTCCAATGAATAGATTCTGAAACATTATAACTCTGTCATTCATGGTGACCTTCATTTTCTAATACCAGCCTGGTTTATCTATTGTTGCTCAATTTTCTAATCTATCTCCATTTGAATATGTACTAGATTAAAAAAAATATTGAAACCCAGTACAGCCAAATATCATTCTGCACTTGTAAATGTGAGAGAGATTTGGGATGACTTACGGATAATCTATATTATCCTTTTCCCCACCATATAGATTATAACTTTGACCACTGAACACAGCCATAAAGTAGATGGTCCTACTCAATCCTTAATAGTAGGCCAGTTGAAACTATTAAGGTTATGCAATTTGACCAAGGTCATACATCTCTAGTCAGTGGCACAAATAAAAAATACTAATTGTCAAGTACGTTATTTACTCCACACCAATTATTCTAAAGGTCTTCCTCTCTTGGAAATTTTTCTTTTGCTAAAGAAGACCTATCATGTTTGCCCAACTGTACAGAATTTAAATTTTTGTTCTTATTTTGATGACAATGTTAATACCGTAAAGGTTTTTTTTCAAAAATACTTTTGAAAAGTTCATGTTACTCTTTGAGTGGGGCTAAATTAAGATTCTCAATCTAGAGATCATTATAAATTTTTTATCAAACTATACATTTCCTCTAAGAAAGCCTTTAACTTCAACAATAATCTGAGGTTTGGTAGTGCTCTGTAATAAAACCACATAATGTAGACTTTTAATCTCTTAATTTCCAACTTTAAATAGACACTATTTTTAATATCTTGAAGTAATGCTTGTCTAAATATATATTCTTAAACATTTTAATTACAATCTATCCAATTTTGTCACACTAGTCTTATAATTTCTAGCTCTAGGATTCTATGAGAGTTGACTATATCACAACACTTCCTTCTATCTTAATTTGGACATCTTCATTTCACCTGGTTCCAGTCATTCTTTATCATATGTATCCTCTTTCTCCCATACCTCTTTGTAGTATTAGAATAGGCTGGTAGCTGCTGAAATGAGCAAATGGAGGAAAAACTAGCTATGAATCTATTTCCCCACTAGATAATCTACTTTATGTAGGTCAAATGATTATGCTAAATAAGCATATGGGATATATTTCATGTTTTCTTTTCTGATTCTAATTGAGAAAAAAGGTAAGTACTTAAGGTGTTAATAATTTAAGGGTATTAACAGTTGATGAAAACCAGTATGAAAGCAAAGGAGGAGCTCGAATCTTTTGCATTCAAGTATTTTGATGAAAATTGGTAATTTAGCCCCAACACTGTTTCGCACATATCTCAGCCCAAATAGACAAGTATTTTGATGAAAATTGAGAATTTAGCCTCAACACTGTTTCCCCCTTTTCCCAACCCAAATAAACATATACATACTTCATAGACTCTATATCCCAATAAAACCACTACAGAGGAAAAAAATTAAGTGACCAAATGTATAAACATGGCATTTTTAAACACTAAGGTAGTTTACTGAGTGAATGACATGAAACATTACCATCGACCTAAGGAGATGTTCTATTAAGAGCAATATATGCTTACAAGAGGCAGAAAACAAGACAAAACTTATAAAATAATTACCACTAAAAGAGTGGTGCATGCATTTCTAAAAAAAGACCAGCTTGCTGTTATCACAGTAGTAATGGTAACTCATATTCACTGGAAACTTACCTCCAAAAATAGAAAAAGAGCATTCTCCAACACAACAAGAGTATACTGACACACCTAATTAAAAGATAGCATGCACATGTCTTATGGGGAAGATGTTTAAAAATCAACTAGTTATCAACTAATAAAAAATGAATATAAGAAATGACTTTCATTACTTTTTGGAAAAAAGTACAAAAATATTATAAATAATAAATTGAAGTATTTTTATCATTCAAAAACAAATAATTTTTAAAGTAAAGCTATTGAAACATATGTGTACACCTAATTCACATCTAAAACTGAGACATGCCCTATTTTTTTCTCTTCAGGCCCTTTGACAAAACTTTAGTGATGACATCACAGGTTTATGTGTTGGCCTACAAAGTTATCTTCCCACCTTTGATTTGCTCCCATACTATATATTATTGTATTACCAATTTTCCCCCATAAATAATCCCATTCTTCATTTGTAATAGCCCCTTTAATGTTTATTTTCTCAATATGACTTATTAGCTTTTATATCCACATGAACATTTATGTCTCACTACTTTTTTATTAAGATGCTCTATTTGGATCAGGTCAGTCTCCTCAGCCCCTCATCCAAAAAATTACCCCAAGCACCTAGTATGTGTCAGGCCTTGTGCTAAGTGCCAGGAATGCAGGGATGAATTTTACGTGGTAATAGCAAAATCCCCCAAAGTAGAGTGAAAGAATCCATGAAATATATGTCATCCAGGAAGTATAGAAATATTACCACTTATCTTTAAAAAAGACATTTCATGAAAATAACTGTTTACTAGTATATAATACATGGATTGGCACTGGTTACTCCCCTTGTCCAAGTATCAGGTGTTTTCCTGCCACACAGAGCACCCACTGTATCTACGGGGAGAGTGAAATGGGACAGTTCCAGAAGAAAATTAAGTAGACAGCCCTTCACTTGGTTGTTCCTTCACATCTTGTGACACGATTTATGAGAGCTCAGCTGAGTGAACTAATAACTTATCTAGATTTAACCAGTAGTCAAAAATGTAAAGGAAGAATTGTATGAGTGTCCCATGTAACAGGTAAATAACTAAGACACATGGACTCTGTGGAGATATCAGTGCTAATCTACATGTTATATACTAATAAGAGTTTATTCATAGTATCATTCCTGCAAATAATTGGCAAAAAAACCCCACATAAGACTAATAATACTGGTACTAATAACTGGCAATACAAATATCTTACTCTTAATACACAAATTTTATCAGTTAGCTACAGTATGAAGTAAAATTTGCATGGCAATCTAACCAGATATAACAAGTCAACCAAAAAAAAAAAGATCAAATGCATCAGCAGACCAGTTAAAATATATTTACATTTACTCATTAACAATAAACCTCACACTAAACCTATAATGTGCTGAAACAGTAGCTAATGTGAAGGAGAAGTTATTGATTAGCAAGACATTGAACAACCAAATATCTAGAACATAAAGATAAACTCTAAAAATAGTGGTTGGGATGAAAACTGTTAACATCCAAACAATCTACTTCTTCCATTTGAATCTATTTGTTTTTGAGAGGTGGCATTTTAGTTATCACATCTAAAAACCAAATATCAACATGCACTGACCATGATATCAGACCTTTCAATCACTGAATCAGAAAGTATAAAATTGAAAATAAAAAATGCATGAAGAACATTTAATCATGTAGTTTTACCAAAAATGTTTTAGTAATAAAAAAGTTAACTTTTAAAATGAAATGCAATCATATTGTTTCCCCAAGTCTTAGTTTTAGTGAGAAAAAATTAACATGTTAAATATATTATCAGATAGCTAAAATTTCCATTTTTGAATATTTTATAATGCATGTTAGCAAACTGCTGTAGTAGCACATGTATAATAGGAGTACAGACTAATTTTGAACTGGGAGGTACACTTAAAGGAGTTTTTACTGATCTGGAGAAGAGAAATAAAAACCAGAAGAAGATGTGAGGTTATGATAGATAAAGTTGATAGGAAGCAGCATGACAATTATTCAGACATCTAGGTATATGATATGGTAAAAGAACAGGGTTAATAGATCTAGGCATCGAGCACCAAATGGCAGCTAATATCACACACAAAAAAGTAGGCATGTACTTTCTGATGGAAAGACATAGCACCACTTATGTGTGATGTAATCTTGCCCTCAAATTAAACCTCAATCTAACCAAGGCTCTAGATCTCACTATCAATTTACAGAAAATACAGAGGCATGTGTGTGGGATGCAAATGGCAGAATTTAAACTGGAAAAATTTAGAACAAATGAAGCAGTTTCTTTAAGAAATAAATTGCAAGGGAAAATGGGGTGGGGGTAAACAGAGTAAAAGCTATTTCTAGCAATCACATGAATGGATCATATTTGGAAAGCCTGATTAAAACTGCAAAATACATACAATTAGAAATTTGAATGCTCACTTGACAGAATGTTAGGGAATTATTATTAATTTTGGTGTAATAATGATACTGTGGTTACTTTCTAAAAAGGTCTTTTATTTTTCAAAGCTATATACTGATTTATTTACAGATGAAATAATATCAAGAAGGATTATGTAGGTAGGGGTCTAAATTGAATAAGACTGACCAGGAACTGATGATAACTGAAGCTAGTACATGGAGGTCCATTTCATTATTCTGTCCTATTTTTTGTATAATTTTCCATAATAAGAAGCTTTTTGTTGTTGTTGTTTTTTAAGAAAGGCCCAGTCACCTAGATCCTACCTTTGGCTTTTAGATAGAACTGTCACTTTACAATTAGGTTTTCCCTGGGATATTTCTCTTAATTGAGACTGTACAACTTGCATATCATGTCTATGTAGCAATATTATGCACATAAGGAAATGAGGCTCTAAAACTATTAATCGTGTTTTGAAGATTACATTTTAAAGTTATTGCTCTAAAAGGTCATTGCTCTAAAAGGTCACTTTCAATCAGCTTCATTAGCAACCAGCCAGAAAAAACAGCAGCTATTAAAAGGCAAATGAAACAAGATATATCCCAAAACTGAATCATGTTTTATCCTTCTAAATTGAAATAAACATAACTGTCACGAAGGTTCAAGAAAATAAATGATACCTAAGGGAATACAAGGCAAAACTTTTGTAAACAATTTTGGTTTCAAGCTCTTGATAAAAACCTAACACTACTCAAGTCAAAGTGTCAAGTCAAAGTATATATGTACTTTACAAAAAAGCAGATGACTGGACTATAACAGAAAAAAAACCCAGAAATATATAAACAGAAAAGCATTTTTAAAAACAGATGAAAGTTGGTTTACTGTGCAAACCCCTCAAAGACTGTTTCATGCATGAATTTTTTTTATTGGGATACCAAGAAGGGAACAAAACAACCCAGTCTAACTGTGTATTATCAAAGAAAAACCCTGGTCAAAAATAGTTTAAAAAATACAATTTAAAAAGCCAGAAATAGGAAACAAAGTGATGCATCACAAGGTGATTATAAACAATTCAAAGCAATGGCATTTCTAATCAAAGTAGCTCACAAAAAGTAGTAAGTAAAAAACACTAAATGTCAACTTAAGAAATACCTTATGAAATGTGTTAATTCCAAATTGAAAGCCAATATATAAAATTTGGCTTATGCCAAAGTAATAGCAAAAACATATAAAATGGGTTTTAACAGCTAGGGCTACAGAGATAAGATAATTTATAACTATGGAGAATGTTAATTCATGATTGGGAATTAAATGGTTAATCAAAAATAAAATATTATAGTTAATGCATGCTGGGCTTAATACCTAGGTGATGGGTTTGTGTAGTAAACCACCATGGCACATTACCTGTGTAACAAACCTGTACATGCACCCCTGAACTTAAAAGTGGAAGAAAAAAACCCAACCACCAAAAAAAAAAAAAAAAAAAAGGAAAAAATTTTACAGTGGCCAACATGCCAACTATCCTCAATCTGATATTACAGTCTTGTTTTAGGAAAACAGGTTTCTGATTCCCACAAATCATTAATTACATTTTGATAATTAAAATAAACTAGGTTACACACGCACATACACACACACTTTAGTAAATACGAGGACAAAGATGGTAACATAGAGCAATGAACTTATTACAGAAATATGCCTCTAAAGAACTTTTTTAACTTTTATTTAAAGATTTCATGCATGGCTATTGGGGCTAACACCTAATACACAGGTTGGTTAAAAAAGAAAAAACAAAACAAAACAAAACAAAACAAAAAACACCAAACACAACAAAACCAAAACTTAGCGCGGGTACAAACTAAAACCCAAACACAAACACAATATACAAAAAATTTGAGAAAGGAGCTGTTTATGAAGGATGCATTTTCTAATTAACAAGTAAACAGGAAAGACAATTCAATCTACAATCTACTCTCCTATTAGAATTAAAAATTCAAAATGGGTACCATTTATTCCTTTCTTATATTTTACATTGATTACTTTCATACATAAACTTCTTACTTGTTCATATACTGTGTTTTAGCAGTATTTATCAAAAACTCAAATCAGATGTTTTCACATATAAAATGACTACATTTCTCTCAATTTCTGTACTTATACACTGTACTCCTACAGCTCCTTAATGCAAAATATTTAGCCGTGGGTTATCTTATAAAACTTTCCTGTATATGGCTATTAGAAGCAACACTTACTACTGAAAACCTTAATAGTTTCCTCAATATTAGAGTTAGCAAATAGAACCCTACTAGGCACGTGGTAAAATACTAAATCTTTCAACTCTAAAGCACTTCTCAAATATCACTTTTAAAGTTAACCCCGAGCCTACTTTAGTTTCAATGTATTTTAATAAAAAATGGCAGAAAAATAAGAGTTGCATTCATCTTCATTATATCATTGAAATATTTTAACCAGTATGAAAGAAAACTCTCAAGTGAATTTACAAAATGCTAAAACAGTTCAAACCATATGAAAGAAATAAATATAAATATGGCCAAAAATAGTACAAATATTCATTTTTTTTCACGATAGTAGAATTTTCATATATACCTGTCAAGTAGTTATGAATATCACTGGTATTCAAAAACTAATTTAACAATGTCTTTATTTAATGACTATTCATGTTTTCAAACAAGTCTCTATGTACAGTAAATATACATAAAGTTCTAATAAACAACAGTGCAATGCTTCCCAAAGTCTTAAGCACTAGTATCAGATTCTTACAACACAGAAACCTTTTAGTTTGCCAAATGATTGGATTAAGGATACAGAATATGTCAAATACTCACTTGTGGCTTTCCAGGTCACCCTCTCCCGCCAAACAAACACAAAAGAAACAAACAAAAAAACCTAATCGCACAAATAACCACAATGTAAAAGGAAGTTCATAATCAGTATTTATATTTTTGAAATATATTTCTTAAAATACACTGCTAATTTCCTTCAGATTATACTCCAGTTGAGATTTATATAGAATCCTAAATGTGATTATTCTGTTCAGATCCATACAGTATTTCAAACCATTATTTTAAAAGATGAAATTTTGATTTTAAAAAAAGCCATAGTTTTACATCTTTCATGGGGAGAAATTTTAGACCCATCTTTCTTCTGGCCACCTCATCGTTTAAATTAAAAATAAAGTCACATCAATCACAGTGTTTTATCAAAAAGTTTTCTTCCAAAAACTTGCACTAAAAAGTTGTAATATTTGTATATAAGTGATTAACCATATTAAAACCCAGACATTTGTAAGAAGATATAAGTGAACTTTATTTATCTGTATCCTTAACCTGATACTACAGCCTTATAATAAGTATTACTTTTGGGAAGAGAAATAAAAGAGGTTTCTAATTTCCACAAAATAGTGCTAGTTAAAATGAAGAAAACTAGTTTATAATCCTTCAGAATAAAGCTTTCACTATTTGCAAGATACCATGAACATGTTAGAATTTTGCCCCCTAAATGTTTTAGATTTGATGAATATTGAGAAAGGGCTGGTTGGGAGGGTTTAAAAAGTACCTACTACTTTGCCTTTTTATTAACAAAATAATATATTTAATTTATGATTCTCCTACTAACTTCCACTTCATTTCACTGGCAAAATGGTCACTTTTTCAAATGACTTAGCAATAGAAAAACTATCCTTTCAGCTTCAAAATAGTTGTCACAATAATTTTGTAAGCCTCCACTGTAGAAGCAATTTAATTACCTCACAAACAAAAAGCACATTTGAAGTTTAGGTAACATTTCTTTCTCAAAAGATAAATGATTCAGAAGGAATATATGTAATTATGTAAAAAAACAAAAACAAAAAACCTCATGTTTCCAGTTTTAATCGTAAAAACAGAAATCTTAAAACACATACATACACTTAGGAGGAAAAAGGAGATGAATGCCAATGTCCATTAGCAAGTGTTACCGACTAATTCTATAATCTAGTTTTTTCTAGTTATATCCAAAGTTCCAAGTTTACTCTAAAATTTTCTTTCTGTACATTTACCCATTTGAACAACATCAACATTAAATAACTAAAACAAGATGGTCCATAAAATTCTTTCTATAGATTGTTGGCTGAAAGTCTCATTTCTAAAACTAGTACTTCAGTATTCCGAAATGCTCTCTCTGCGTCTTTTCATTTCTATTAGTATGTTTAGGACATAAAGCATTAAAATAAGGCTACTGCTAATGTACCAAAATCCATGTTCCAGAAAGGAAAAAAAAAAACTAATAATTATCATGTTTGAAAGGTATGTATTTTATTACTCTTGCAGGTATTTTGGACAAAAATATTGACCAGCTAATTATGCTCTTCCACACATCATGTTCACTGAGTTTACTACCACAGTTTTAGTGCAACAAAATATCTTTGAAAAGCCACTCTACAGTAATTATGGCAAGGCTCATTAATATGCAGAGGTAAAGATTTCATTTGTATAGAAACTTAGAAAATAATGTTTGAAAAGGAAAGCCATTCCATCAGGCTAAATATTTTTTGTATATTAAAAAATATATATAAATATTTCTTGAATTAGTTTTATAGTCAATTTTGATGCAGTGTCATTGAGTGGTGATAAATTTTGAGAGGTATATGTTAAACAAACATCATACTTGAGATTATAGTCTTAGGTAAACATTTAATACACAATGTCAAGGTAGTTCCCTTTTTAAAAAATTTTTGTACCAAGTAAGTCATACATTTAATGTTGACATTTCTTCTTACCTGTGTGCCTCACACCAATAAAGTACTCTGCATTAAAATTTAAATCTTGAGACAGTAGTACAGCATTGAAAAAAAATTGTAAAGCAGCTTAGATACACTGAACTCAGATTTTACATTTTCATTTGTCAGATTAGAATATAAAAAGTAAGCTTGAAAATCAACTTGAAAAAGCTTATTCTTCCTCAAGAAAAAGTATGAACAATCTGAAAATGATCAACTAGTGTGAATGAACATTGTACATAGTTAAGTCACATTCAGTGGTTGCTAAACATACCACTCCCTCCTGGAAATTACGGAACCATCTACATGTGAAACTAAGTCATCTTCGTTTTCATCATAATGTTCATCACTGACAAACTTCATTCCCATTTTTAGATCTTCATAATAATCCATTGGTCTTTCAAACCTATTGAGATTTTCTACATTGTTCCACTGAGTTTTTTCAGGCTCTTCTAAATAGTCTTTACGTATTAGATTGTTCACTGGATTTTTGTTTTCTTTTTTTACACTGTCTGGGTAAGAATCAAGCTCATCTTGTTGAAGAACATCTATTTGTGATTCTTTTTGCATATCTGATGGTGGAATGTAGTTCTTGGCAAAGTAGTCTCCACGAAACGTCCGTCTTCTCCTATAGCAGAATATTCCAGCCAAAACACTTACAAGTACTATGAAGAGAGCCCCACCCACTACACTAGCAATGATCGTGGCAATTGTGTCATCCTTAATTGTTGCCAAAGTTGACAATGGGAAGGGCAATTTTTTAGGTTCTGTTGCTAGATCCTCGATGTCAGCAGTTGAGGGATGCCACTGAATTGTAGGCTGAAGGGTGGTAGTAGTAGGAGGATCTAATGGAAACAGTAAAGATAGAGAAGACACAGAAAGGCAAAGAATGTCAATGCAGGCTGATTCAGCAGCAAGTTGACAAGACAGCACAGTTAATGAATATATATTCATAGTAACAATAGTTTTTCATTCTTAATTTGATTAAGATTAGAATGTAGTGGTACTCATCTATTTAAAAAGAAAACAACACTGACATTTAGTCAGTCACCAATAAAGAGAAAGGAATAAAACCTATGGTGTAAACCTATGTTGTAATTCTTCCATTCCAAGTTTATGAGTGATATTGTACTCCAGAAAAGAGGTCCTTATTTTTTTAATGAAGAGTATTACTTAAGTGTCCTATTACATAGCAAGCTTAATAATTACTATAACAAAAAAGTAAATCAAGTAATTCAAATGTACATTTTCTTAGCCAGTAGCTCAAGAAAATAAAAAGAATAAAAAAATTAAAGTTTTTCTTAATATCCATTTTACCTATTAATAATATGGTTTATTTTTATAAGAGCTGAGCGTATCTTTAAAAGAATGAAAAACTATAGACTCTTGTTAAGTGGGCATAGTATAAGCTGTTGGTTTAATAATTCTCTCAAAAATATTTTCTTTAAATAAAAAAGCTCAAAATTTTTGGAAGGAGATATATAGTAAACACTATTATTTAGTAATTTAAAAAAATAAAAAAGCATATGTTTAAACTTATGTTAGCCTGATAGGCTATTACCAAAGGAAACTAATAGACAAAGTAAAAATATGTTATAAAGTAATAAAAATGTCATCACCATGTCTAACACCCTATGGGCAAGTTATCTAAACATTCAGAAATTTAAAAACTTCAACTATATCTGCAAAATTTAATGTCACTACTTTAGGATGGAGTCTCAAAAAGAACAGCTAATATTTTAGAGAGAACATTCTAATAATACTTAAATATTAGATGCAAAGGAATCTGTGTATTGACATTAGATAACAGAGTAAATAGCCAGTAATATTAAAAAGCAACTAAACATAAATAGCAAAAATTAAAGACTGGTTAATTATCAATTAAGTAGTATTTATAGGTCATGTAACACAAAACTGTAGAGTTTGAAGAAAGGGTAAGTTTAAAAATATTGTTTCCTTCACAGTGAAAGAAATAAATGACCCAAATGGTAATCTCCTATAATTAATTTTTAAATGAGTGGTACTGATAGAGCTTTAAAAAATGATTGTTAGAAAAATACTAAATCTACATGGGGTAAGTTATTCTAATATTACAAGCTAAAGAAAAATACTTACTGAACAGGTTTCATCACGGAATGCCATATGTATAGAATGTGGTAAAAATTTAGCAAGTACAGTATAAAATTTAATAAGTACAATATAACTAATTTTGAGTTTAAATTTATAACAGGTAACCCTGTCAAGTACTTTGAGATGAATATTAGTTATCAGAGTATATTTAAGTGAATCAAAGAAGTTTTAATTTATGAAAACATTCACTAATGGAACTAATTCAACCCCAAGAAAACAAGTGTAGAATTGAAGGATCATGTCTAATATAGAAGTAGTAAAGTCTCACGTAATGCAACTTCACAGCATTAGAACATTAAAAATATAGACTAAAAATTAAATAAGACGATTCATGTATTTTCTGAGGAAGCAGAAGTACTGGGAAAGTCAACTTTAATGTATTGAATGTCATCCTTACAATGATTTGCAAAGAAAAAAATATAATAAACTGGCATCAGCATATTTAAATTAAAGTAAAAATCATCTAATTATTTATAATTTAAATACTTTTCTGCCAGTAGAGTTTTAAAGTTTTTCATGGTTCTTTATATGCTAGTTTTTTTCAGAACAGTGACTATATTTGAGCTCTCACCAAATAAGACACATTTTTACCAAGTATCCTAAATAATGAAACCCTGACATTTATTACTTCTATTTGCAAATTTCTTTATATGAACACAAATGGTCATCTATTGTCCATTTCACTCAGATTTAACAAAATATGGCTTTGAGAAAAATCTAACCAAAAGGGTTACTTTAAAATCTTATTTTTGTTGATGGTTCTAGAAATGTTTCAACCTACCATCCCACTCCTTAATCAGTGTTAAAAATAACTGAGCCTCACTAGTAATATCATTCCATGAAAGAGAGGCCATTTAATACTTCATTATTTTGCATTTTAAGCAATGGAAATATGACAATGCGTGCAAAATATTTTCTCTGTTTTCTAATTTACAATGACAGTCACAATTATTATAAGGTAGGACTATTTTTCATCACCATATCATGATTTTAAATCCTTCCCAAAAGTATTCCTCATTTTTCAGTTAGATATTATTTTTCATACTCTTTGCTGACTGTGTGATAAATGAGTATATAATGGATATAATGACTTTTATAGTTCTTCTCACCCAAATGAAGAACTTTAAGTTTCCTTTTCTAATGAGTTCTGCCAAACCATAAAATAGTCATGTAATGCCCCGTAAAAGGCATATTTTAGTCTTCTAAGGTATATTTTTAGTGTCATAAAAATTAATTGGCTTATTTTTCTTTTAGACTTCATATAGGTGTTTAAATATATGAAATAATGCATTTTAATGTTTAAGGATTGCTAAGTAAGCAGATTCTTAAGTTTGAAACTACACTTGGATCCTAAAATCAATATGACCTGAAATTCAAGCTGTGCACAGGAATAAGAGTTTTAGACATAGGGGCACTTATTTGACATATCAAAATTTGCTTTTCTAAATTTAAAGATAAGAAACAGGTATTAGTTAAGGGAAAAATATACATCAAAAGCAAACCAGAAAAACACAATTTCCAGTAGTCAGTAAGTACTAGTCAAAGAGCTACTATACCTCTTGAGAGTATTACTATTATATAATAGAGTACAATTTAATAACTGAGGTTGAATATTGCAATCCTAAATCAAAAACCTGTTATCCAAAATCTTACATTTATCAATGTGGGAAAATGTGTAACAAAATTAAGAACAATTTCCCTCAGAGTTGCTTATTCTGTTCTGAGCAGAACTTTTCATCTCTAGTCCTAAGATGCATTTATTTTACATATATTAAAAATAATTTCTCAAATTTTTAAATATCTATTTTAATACTGAGGTAACATTTTTTTCCTAGAGGAAAATGAGTACATGTAACAATGAAAAAGATTAACTGGTCATTTATTTTGTGAATTATGGCTTCTCACTCTTGTAAAAGCCTACTAGGTTTTACTAAATAGTCATTCTGGAAAGGCAGCATTATACCTAGGATACCTGACATACTCCAAGCAGTTGTTAGATGAGTTAACTAATCTCAGGATAGTATGCTGTGTTACAGACTCTGGATAGAAAAGTAAAGTCTAACTACTGATTACCAAAAAAAAAAAAACATTCTCGGCTAGGTGCGGTGGCTCATGCCTGTAATCCCAGCACTCTGGAAGGCCGAGGCTGGTGGATCATGAGGTCAGGAGATCGAGACCATCCTGGCTAATATGGTGAAACCACATCTCTACTAAAAATACAAAAAATTAGCTGGGCGTAGTGGCGGCCACCTGTAGTCCCAGCTGCTTGGGAGGCTGAGGCAGGAGAGTGGCCGTGAACCCGGGAGGCGGAGCCTGCAGTGAGCCAAGATCGCTCCACTGCACTCAAGCCTGGGCGACAGAGCAAGACTCTGTCTCAAAAAAAAAAAAAAAAAAATTCTCTGCTGGGCGCAGTGGCTCACACCTGTAATCCTAGCACACTAGGAGCCTGAGGTGGGTGGATTGCCTGAGCTCAGGAGTTCAAGACCAGCCTGGGCAACACGGTGAAACCCTGTCTCTTCTAAAATACAAAAAAATTAGCTGAGCATGGCAGCGTGTGCCTGTAGTCTCAGCTACTTGGGAGGCTGAGGCAGGAGAACTGCTTGAATCCGGGAGGCAGAGGTTGCAGTGAGCCAAGATAGTGCCACTGTACTCCAGCCTGGGCGACAGAGCGAGACTGTCTCCAAAAAAAAAAAAAATTATCTCATATAACGCCACTTCTTCGAAAGTGCTGAAACTGATTTTGTTCATATTTACTCAAAATTTGATTTCCCTTTTTAAAGAGTTAAGTTACACAAAAGCAGATTCTGGATTTGTAAATTGATTCCTGATTGTTTTATTCTCAAATTTATTCATTCATGCAACAAAACTGTATTGAACGTCTATCATATGCTAAACATCATTGTAGATAATGGAAATATAGCAGTAATTAAAGCAGGCTTTATGTTTAGACTTACGTTCTGAGGGTAAAAACAGACAAGCATATAAAAACAAGAAAATATGTAAATATTTTACATATTTACATGGCAATACATGGGGTTACATGGCAATACGTGCTAAAGAGAAAAAGAAGGGGACCAATAGTAGCAAAGGGGTGAGAAGGGAGGGTATTTTATTTCAAATATAACCATGAAGGAAGACCTCATTGAAAAAGGTGAAGGTGAAGGCCTTAAGAAGTGAGGTAAAGAACTCTGATGATACCTGGTAAAAGCATTCCAGGCAGTGAAAACAGCAAATGCAAAAGACTCTGAGGTAGGAATGTGCCTGCTATGTTTGAAGAACAGCAAGGAGTCCAGTAGTGACTCAGCCAATGAGCAAAACATATAAGAAATGAAATTAGAGAGATCATCTGGAAGAAGGGCTCTGTAAGTCATTGTAAGGATTTGGTTTTCATTGTGGGTAAAATGGGAAGCCCATGGAAGGTTTTGAGGAGAGGAGTGACATGAGCTGACATGTCCTTTAAAAGAACTACCCTAGCTGCTCATTTGCTGACAAACTGAAGGGGGACACAGGCAAAGTAGGGAGATTAAATGGTTATTGTAATAGTGAAATAAGAGTGGCTTATGGCTTAGACTAGTGTAGTAGTAGTAGAAGAGTTGAAGAACTGTTAAGATTCTATATTTAACATAATGGAAGAGCTGGTATTGATTTGTTAATGAATTAACTAGGGTGTGAGAGAAAAAGCAAAATCAAGAATAACTATCAAGGGTTGTATCCTGAACAAATGTAAGGAAAGAAGTACCAGTAACTGAAAGAAGGAAGATGAGTACAGAAATATGTTTGGTATCAAGGAGCAATAGAAAGATCAAGACCTTGGTTTTGAATATGTTAAGTTGTAAATACCTATTAGACTACTACATAGAGTTAATGATCATTAATAGGCAATTGGACACACAAGTCAAGAGTACTGAACACTGCACTCAGAATGATAAAAGAGTATAAATTTAGGATATTATCAATTAAATCAGTACATACAAGAGTGTCCAAAATGAGCCTTGATATTTATTTTTTAATTTTTTTTTTTTTTTTGAGACAGAGTTTCGCTCTGTCATCCATGGCACGATCTGGGCTCACTGCAATCTCTGCCTCCCGGATTCAAGCGATTCTCCTGCCTTAGACTCCTGAGTGGCTGGGATCACAGGCGCATACCACCATGCCGGCTAATTTTTGTATTTTTAGTAGAGACAGGTTTTCACCATAGTGGCCAGGCTGATCTCAAGCTCCTGACCTCAGGTGATCCACCTACCTCGGCCTCCCAAAGTGCTGGGATTACAGGTGTGAGCCACCACGCCCAGTCAAGCCTTGATATTTAAATGATTACATAGACATATTGAGTCTAAGGTCTACAAGTAATATCCCACACCAAATTGTACAACAGAAACAAAATAAACAGTCCTTAAGTATATTTTAACTATGCATTTCCCTGGCTTATTCTCTAACTAAAGAGAGAGTAATATACTAATATGTAACCTCATTCAGATTTCCAGCCAGGCACAGTAGCTCACGCTTGTAATCCCAGCACTTTAGGAGGTTGAGGTGGGCAGATCACTTGAGCTCAGAAGTTCACGACCAGCCTGGACAACATAGAGAGACCACCCCTGTCTCTACAAAAAATACAAAAATTAGCTGGGCATGGTGGTGCATACCTGTAGTCTCAGCTACTGAAGGCTGAGGTGGGAGGATTGCTTGAGCCCGGGAGGCAGAGGTTGCAGTGAGCTGAAATCACACCACTGCACTCACTCCAGCCTGGGTGACACAGCGAGACCACGTCTCAAAAGAAAAAAAAATACAGATTTCCACCAAAGTACTGATACTGGCAGAAAGGGCTAGGGATGTATACAGCTCTAAGCTTCTTTCTAGACTCATGCAAAAAAAAAAAAAAAAAAAGAAAGTTTGCACCTCTATCATGTGCCAGGCACAATGCTCACTGCTGAGTATACAGTCGTGAATAAAGCAAGCACAAATTGCTGAATTGTGAAGATAAATAATAAGCAAAGAAATGAGCATACAACTAAAAACTGTGGTGAGTGCTCTAAGACAATATAATACGTGGTACTTTTCTTGGACTGATCACACAAGGACTGAGAATATAACACTTAAGCAAGCACAAAATTTCACCAAAACCTCTAATTTATCTAGTTTTAGATCTGAACAAAGATAAAACCCTTAACTATTTATTCCATAATTACCATACAAACCTGAGTTTCTTAGGTTCTCTTCCTTTTACCTCTTAATTTTCCATTTGTTAGACAGGAAGATTGCTACATTCTTGTAATCAGTAAGGAGATGCTCAAAATATTTTATTGAATTTTTATAAATAAGCATTCTATTGATAATTTATTACTTGCAGCCACAACCAGGAAAAGATGTATTTTTAGCTCTCTATTTTACGAATGCCAAAATTTATACTCAGCCAAATTAACAAAAATATTCAAAGTGAAACAGAATGTGAAAAATCTAAGCTATTAGTAGTTTAAAGACAATAAAAAACATCACAAATTTTATTTCATTAACACATTTTCAGTAGCATTCCTATTTCACCTCTCAGTAACACAATATGGTATAGTCCCATATTAAGTGGGAAACAACGCTATTTAACAAGCCATCAAATTTAATATTCCATTTTATTTACCAGACAACTGTGTACAAAGTGGCCATCAAAGCAAAAGAAAAAAATCACTATTTGTTCTTAGTGTAAAGATAAAAGAATCTAGAAAGTCATACTATGTATTAAAGAAATAGTACTGTTGAACTGAAAAATTAACTATATGTACAGGCATCAAAAAGTAAATAAACTTGTTGCACAGACACTTTGACATTTCAATAAAGGATGCCACATTACATACCTATCTCAGGATAGGATTATTTTATCATATTCCTTTTAGATTATTTGGAAAAACTTCACACTGAGGAATCTGTATCTTTACAAGTACAAATTATTGCTTAGGATCATATTGTTACTATGATTATTCAGAAATATTTTAAATAACTCATTTTGCAAGCAGATAGTAACTTACCTGAAATGTAGATGACTTTTTGGTCACTTCTTTGACCAAGGGAATTGGTCACTTTACAGATATAAACACCAGAATAATTGAAAGTCAATGGATGGACAAAATGAAGAGTATTGTCTGAAGCCAATAAACCATCAGGCCATTGTCCATCCAACCTAGATTTTAAAATGCATAAAATTATTTTAAATATCTTCAGACTATATTTATTGACAGCTAGTTAAAATGAGGCATTATATGTTTGAGATGTTAGTCAAAATAAAAAAGCATCTCAGACAAAATTCACTGAAAGTATAAAAAAAAAGTAACAAATTTTCATTTTAATAAAGATGAATGAATAAAGGCCATTAAGAACACCCATTCTTCCAAAATAGCAGTCCATGTAAGAGTGGCTCTGCCAACATAATAAAACGGGAGAAAAGCAGAGAAAAAATATAATTAAAAAAATTTTATTCAGAAAACTGGAAGTTAGAAAAATATATTATTTGAAGACATACATACAATATCAAATAAAATTCTCATTGAATCAGAGATCCATTCATGACATATCTACAATTTTCTTCATGCAAAGTCATCTCACTTAAATATGTAATGTTTTAGCACCCTCTATAACATATTTATAGAGCATCATTTAATGCTAATGCAAATAGACACTGTGCTCTATCCAAAGATAGTTTCTAAAACAGCAAAATGGGTCTTCCTATAAAATAATTTCACTTGTAAGGTGGGCATCTGTGACAATAAAAACCAAGACACCACTTGGTATCAATAATAACTCTTTAAAACAGTATTTACACTAATTTGGCTAAGAGGTCCTATACCTAGTATCCATATTACTCTAAACCATGTAGAGTCCCACTATGAGAATTCTAAAGTCATTCACTGTAACGGAACTAGGCACACTGCTAAAAATCACTTTTCTAACCTGAGGGTAACAAAAAAAACAACAAATAAGTGTTTTTAAAGCTTAAAGGTTTTTGTTTGTTTGTTTTTGGTTTTTTTAAAGAGGATAAGGCCGGGCACAGTGGCTCACACCTGTAATCCCAGCACTTTGGGAGGCCGAGGCGGGCACATCACTTGAGGTCAGGAGTCAGAGACCAGCCTGGCCACCATGGAGAAACCCTGTCTCTACTAAAAATACAAAAATTAGTTGGGCATGGTGGCGGGTGCCTGTAATCCCAGCTACTTGGGATGCTGAGGCAGGAGAATCACTTGAACCCAGGAAGGGGAGGTTGCAGTGAGACGAGATGGCACTACTGCACTCTAGCCTGGGTGACAGGGTGAGACTCTGTCTCAAAAAAAAAAAAAAAAAAAAAAAAGAAAGAAAAGAAGATTAAAAAGTCAAGTAAACCTAGGTGCTCAACTACTACAGTTTAGGCTAAGTAGATTTTCAAAAAGTTTATTCACTTATTCCTTCATTCAATTACTAGGAGCCCACTATTTGCCATACTCTGCTTTGCTGGTGGTGCTGAGATACAGAAGTAAATAAAATGTAGTCTCTATTTTCAATTATGTAAGTACATAGAAGATTGACAAATGATTACACAGGGAATAAGAACAAACAATAATAAAAAGGTGGAAAGAAGCAAATCAACACTGAAGAACAGATAGAATAATTTTGTTTTGCGATCTCAAGTGTAGTGAGTGGTAAAATAATCTGTAAAATCTTTTAGAGTTGGTAGTACTTCAATTCAGCACTGAAGGATAAAGATAATATGCTTACATGGTTTAAAAAACGAAAACAAAAGCACCTAACCTTTTTCTTTAGAAGGCTTTGGAAAGAAAATTTTTGCAAGTATCGGCTTTCAAAAGATAAACTTTCTACAAGGATAACAATGAAAATAAACTATATATGTCTTAACAATTACCTTTGTACTTTGGGCTCAAAGTTTTAATCCCTTTAATTCTCTGAGAAATTGTAAAATGACTTAGAAATATCTAAATATCACATTAAACCTACAACAAAAGCATCTTCTATGCCCTTGTGTCTATGTTACATGACTTATATTCATTGTCTGTACCTCACAAAAACTCTATGAAGTACTGTTACTGGCAAGGAAATTTAGGATTAGAGGGGTTAAATGATTTACTCAAAAAAGACATATAGAAGTTTAGACATTGGGATGAGAATCCAGAGTTGTATGGCTTTTAGAAACACTCTATCAAATAAAAATCTTAACTAATGACTGCTTCCCATTTAAAAAAAATGTAAATGAAAAAGGTTTTCTCTACCTTTAAAATAGTATCCAGGCTTAAAGACAACTGATTGACCAGATATAGTGCTTCCTAACTCCCATAAAATCCCACCAGGAAGAGTACAGAAATTAAAAAGTTATTAAAAACCCTAGAGGAGAAAACAGGAGGCAGAATTCAACAGACAAGATGTTTCAACACACTTTTAGAAGACAGAAAATAGATTTAAAAAACAATATATGCCTTAGGTCAGTGTTTCTCAACCCAGGGATGCTTCAAAACATCTTACAATTCACAGGACTGCACACTACAAAAACTAATTATCGGCCTAAAATATCAATAGTGCCAAAGTTGAAAAGTTGTACTTCAGGGTGAAGGGTTGCTTATGAAAAACACATGGATGAGAAAGCAGCCAATTTGGTCCAAAGAATCCAAAAAAAAATTTGGAGTTCAACTCACTGTACCTCAGAAAACTAGAAGGAGGCCAAGAGCAAGTTAAAAGATACACAACAGAACAACAGATTCCTCCCAACTCTGTACAAATACCAGACATTCATCTCTGGGGCAAAAAAATGCAGGTTAATTCTAGAAATAAACTGGCCACGAAATAAAGACTTCCACTCTTCTATTAGTGGTATCTGGAGCCTCTCCAGGAAAATAATCACATCTCTACCTGATTACTCTAAGTGGAATCTAATGAGCAATCCCCACTGCAGAGAAAGCATCCACTAAGCATTTTATTTAATGCTTCACTGTGAAAGACTAAACAACCAACAAGATTAAGAAATATCTACATAATGAAAGACCAAACCAAAAAATAAAAGAACTTGGAGGGAAAAGAGATAGTATGTAGAAAGCAGAAAAAAACTATCTGGGGAAGAAATAATTCTAGTATCCCTGGGAAGAAACAAGAAAGATACTACACTCATAAAATAAGAAAAGCGTGCTATGAAAATAACATATTTTTATTGTTGGCCTATTTTCAGTTTATAAGAGCATCTTCTCATTCTCTAATGAATATTCAATGAGAAGATGCTCCGTCTTATGAGAAGACGCTCTTAAAAACTGAAAACAGGCCAAAAAAAATTTATATCATTAAGTCAATGGAAAATTTAAAAAAAAATCAAGAAAATCTTCTAGGAAGAATAAGACCATCTGAAAATATAAAAGAAAGGATATTTATTATACAATAAACAGGAGTTCCAAAAAGAGTGAACAGGAATAAAAAAGAGGGAAATGACCAAAAAATAAGAAAATTATTCAAGTTGATAGATACATCTGGAGATCAAAATAGGCCCTAAATACTGACAAAATATGAATAAAAACCTTGGTATAACAGTTTGAAATTTCAGAGAAAGAAAATTATGCACGTAGTAACTACACAAGTAAAAAGAGGCAAATATTAGCCATTAGGAAAACAAATGGCTATAGACAAGAGAAAACAGAAGTCTGGTATACTACTACTTAGCTCTTAGTAACATTTACCTGTCCTAGAGAAGCAAACAGTGATTACTGAGTTTAATTTAAAATAGCTAAAATTTCGTTTGGACTATGAAAGGTAGGAATGTGTGTATATGGGTGTGTTTGTAAATGAAGGAGTAGACATAAAATTATAATTATTTATCTAAGAAGTCAATTGACAATGTTAAAAACTATTAAGTAGTAGCAGCTTAAGACCTCTGACTGTAACTAACCGTAAGAAACTGCTAAAATTGCTAAAGTAGCCTCTAAAGATCAGAACTGAGGGGGTAGGAAGGTGGGGACAGGTGGGGAAGGATAAGACAGAAAATTTAATTAAAATTTTCTGCTATTACTATAATCATGTATTATACAGATAAAAACAATTTAGAATGGGGATTTAAGAAGGTTTCACTTTTAGATAATTTCTCTTTCGAAGTATATAACATTACCTGCTCCACACAGATTTGAAGGGTGGTGGATTTGCATCAGCATTACATTTGAGATTAACACCTTTTCTTCCTACAAACCAATTTCCATCATATCCTGTTACCGAAACTTCAGGAGCATCTATAAAATAAATGCATGACAGGACAGATTACCTTTTGTTAATGATAAATGCAATATACATGATAAAATATTAAGATAATAGACAAAGCCTTAGAATAACAGGAACCATTTTTCCTTAGTCTCAACATGTATAATCAATACAGAAGACACTACTCCACAAGTATTGGCTGACTGAAAGAATAAAATGGAGAATGAGTACCCCCCAAACAGGCAATTCTACTACATACAGTTTGAGTAATTAGAAATGCTGAATGTTAAGGAATATTCATAAACCTATAATCACCAAAAGCAAAATGTAAGAATCCTATTATGCGAGATGTAGAGATACAGGAACAAAGCAAATACATTATAGTATTTAATTAAATAAGACATGGTATTTAAGTACCATGTAGTACCAAGTCACCATATAAAACAGTCTTTAATGAGATATTTAATCTAAAAGGAAATATCTTCTAAGAGGTATCAGGTCAATTACAGTGACTAGATTCCCTATGTTACAATTAATTAATATATTGGGGGCATGTAGAGATGTGACACAGGCTTTCCATGACTACATACTTAAAACTGAAGTAAATTAGCTAGGGCTTCAAATGTACTAAAACATGAATTTTCATCCATTCCATGTACCCAAAAGTCTTTTAGCATATGTGCAACACAACTAGTTGAATGAGCAATTATCCATATCTACCAGCAATATAAATATATACTTCCAAACTACTAAGTCCAATAACTATCATTCATTCAACCATCACTCTGTTTAGCTCCTAATAAGTGCCAGGCATGGCACTTAGAAATAATACACTGTTTTGGCCCAGCGCGGGGGCTCACGCCTGTAATCCCAGCACTTTGGGAAGCTGAGGCGGGAGGATCATGAGGTCAGGAGATTGAGACCATCCTGGCTAACACAGTGAAACCCCATCTCTACTAAAAAATACAAAAAAAAAAAAAAAATTAGCCAGGCGTGATGGCGGGTGCCTGTAGTCCCAGCCACTCGGGAGGCTGAGGCAGGAGAATGGCACGAACCCGGGAGGCGGAGCTTGCAGTGAGCCTAGTTCGCGCCACTGCACTCCAGCCTGGGCGACAGAGTGAGACTCCATCTCAAAAAAAAAAAAAAAAAAAGAAAGAAATAATACACTGTTTTAGGTGTTTGGTATACACACAGACTTTATATACATAAAATTTATATTCTAATAGTAATAGGGAAGATGACATTTAAAAATACTTAACTAAAACTCCTTATGAGGGCCAAGAAGAAAAAGAGTAGGATGCTGAGAGAATATAAAAAGAAAGGCCTAATTTAAGTTGGGCATGGGGCTGGAGGTGATAAAAGGCTTCCCCAATGAAGTGCTAGTTATGTATGATGCAGAGACTCTCTAGCTTTCTGTGAGCTACATAGAAAACTAAGTTAGCAGCACATGATCTGATGAGAAACTAGAGAGAGAGACCAGATCAGTCTTTACCTCTGCCAGGGAAGACTGTCCTACTGGAAAGCAAAATTTACAAAATAGTGGTAAAAAATTGAACTTTTGATAAGGTACTATTATCTCAGAAATTAAAAAAAAACAAAGATTAACAAATATTTTTGTAACTTAAAAGTGGTACTAAAAAATGTTGCTGAAAGAACAGTCCAGATACCTGTGAGTTTAGGCATAAAAGTATCCCAAGAGGATATCTCTAAATATTGAGGTATAAATTTGTGCTATAAGACAATATTTAAGTTTGTTTACATGTCTTATAGGTCTCCAATTTACAAAAGGAAAAATGTCATGACTATTCTAAGAACATTTTAGGAGTAAGCCAACAAATCAATACCATATTATAAACACTTACATTAGAAGAAATATATCTAAGATTTCATTCAAGCAAACAAAAAAAAACAAATTGAAAATATCAGTCATTATTAGACACTGGAAAGGTAAACATATATGGATATGCAAAATACATTAACTTCCAATTGGGATCTGAATTTTATGAGAAAAAGAAAAAAGTTAACACTCTGTAAAAGCAAGGTAGGAAAAGGAAAAAGAAAAATTTTAACACGATTCTCCAGAGAATTGAGAAAAGATGGTATTAGCATTTAAGAATGCAATGGTAGTAACATTTTTTAAACTATAGCTTTTCAAGTTAACCCTATAAAGGTTGAAAAAGATCCTGGGAATTAGCTTTAAAAATGATTACACCAAGTGTAATGAATATGTGTAATTTAAAACTCCATGCATGTCATATCAAAAAGCAAGTAAGTAGCAACAACAAAGAATAGAACTCCCTCAAAAACACCTAGATTTATAATTTGCACATGGATAGAAGTAAAAGCAGAACCTACTTTTCTAATGTTCCTAATTTTCATTATCTTTGCTATAAGCTATCTGCAGCCATCACCTTTTTTACTACCTGAAATTTTTAAATGGTATACAAATCACAAAGAATGTATTAAACACTAAGAAACTTTTCAAACTAATTAATATGCATATAGGAAAGACAAAGAAAATAAGGCCACATGCAGTGGCTCATGCCTGTAATCCCAGCACTTTGGGAGACCAAGGCGGGAGGATCACAAGGTCAGGAGATGGAGACCATCCTGGCCAACATGGTGAAACCCCATCTGTACTAAAAATACAAAAATTAGCAGGGCGTGGTGGTGCACGCTTGTAATCCCAGCTACTTGGGAGGCTGAGGCAGGAGAATCACTTGAACCCGGGAGGCGGAAGTTGCAGTGAGCAGAGATGACGCCACTACACTCCAGCCTGGCGGCAGTCCAGCCTGGCGGCAGAGCAAGATTCCATCTCAAAAACACCAACAACAAGGAAACAAGATGGTGAGCATTGGTGAAACTGAATAACAGCTCAATTAATTAGAATGTAGAAGTTGTTTGCCCTTTAGCATTGTACATTTTGAGGGACAAGTTGCCATAACTCCCTAAGTCCAGCCTACTTTTAAGATCTTAAAAGGAAATGGTTATATAATTTTAAGTTGGAGAGCAACTTTAAAGTCATCTGTCCATCTTTACAAAAGTGATTAAAAATGTTCTGGTTAAATGAAATTTCCATGAAAACAAACAAAATTAAAAGAAAAACAAAAACAAGGAAAAGCTATTAAATATTCAAACTAAAAATAGTTTGATAAACATGCTGACAAATATTTAAAAAGTAAATGTTACCATTTACTTACACTGTATGTCTAATATGAAAGAGTATCGGATGTCCTTTTCCAAGGCTGGATGTTTTACAACACAAGTAATTCGCCTTCCTCTAGCAAATCTGGTTGGAAATAGCTTGTACTGGCTGATAATCGTTGCCGTTTCATTTGGAAAAGAAGTTGTAGTGGATTCCATTTCACCAAGATCACCTTCCCAGTCAATATGTGCAACGGGTTTTCCAGTGGCTGCGATGCAAATGGCTGCTACTGTTTCATTTCCTCCATCAATTAAAGAATCTGGCCCTTTTATCAGGCTCACAGTGGGTTCAACTGTTTAAATATTTTTTTAATAATTAGTTACATTCAAACAAGAATATGTTTATATCTTTCCAAGTCACATCTAAACATATTTCACAAGCTTAAGGACAACTGCATATAAAAATCTACACACACTTTTTAGGTAATGCCATCGTCAATTACATTCTTGGAAAAACAAAAGATCATAAACTAGGACAAATGAGACCAGGAATTCATACCACCACTACAAAGATGGCTCTACCTGATAAAGATATACATTCCTTTAGGGAACGATGAATTCCTTCCAACTTAATATATAAAAAAAATTTCTGTGAACGAGATCACAATTCCCTTTATGAGATTAAAGGTATTACTTCTCTGGAAGATAAGTTTTATATATGTATAATATATATATATATATATATATATATATATATATAGCTTCATTTTACAGTAAAAAAATTTTAAAGCAAATACTTTTAAAAATAAGTTATGATTATGACTTACTGTTAAAATGTTAAGAAATAAAAAAAGTTCTTCTGAGCATACCTATTGGAGATGAAATGTTTTTCTTGGCCCAGTAAGTGACTCAATAATTTCATTTAAAACACTGCCTTTTGAACTTTCAACCTTTAACTACTCATATACCCAAAAGAACCAATTAGGGCTGCTGAATGTGTTCAATTACTTTTATTTACAAAATATACTTTAAGCTCATCCTAACGTACCATCACTAATAGTTAAGTTTACTGGAATGTACATACCACCTATTTTCTTCCAATATAAGAAAGTTCCTCAGCAGGGTAAAGTAACAATGTTAGAACCTCTCAATCTACTCTGCCCCCAATATCTCTTAGCTATCTTTTCACATTTTCCAGCAATTGTTAGGTGCTTCTGTGTAATTCCTCAGTACTGACTTCATAAATTTTGTGTTCAGTCTTTAGTTTACTCTGTGCATTGAGTTTTTATTTCAATGATTTTTTTTTTCATTTCCAGGACTTCAAGTTGGTTCTTTTAATACCATCTGTTCTTGATGGTATTGAAAGAACCAATTTTTGTTTCATATTTTACTTTGAAACCTATTTTTATTTCACATTTTACTCTCATGGATATGATTATTTTCCTTATGTAGTTCCTTTCATAAGATGCATTACTGTAAAATAACAAATGAAAAAGTACATGCAACACACGCAATGAACAATTTTACAGCAAACATCCATATAACCACCACACATCTTAACAAACATTATTACTGGAACCTCACAAGTCCCTCATATTCCTCTACTACATCTTAAAAACCTGCCTACCTCAATGTGAAACTATTATATTGACTTTGGAGATCAATGGTTTGTTTTTCATTATAGTTCTACAACCAACACATGCAAATCTAAACAACACAGTTTAGCCTGTTTCTGAACTTTCTAAGAATGGAATTGGACCATACGTATTTTTGTACTTTTTCTTTGACTCAACTTTGTGTTCTGGAGATTCATTCATATTGGAACATTTAGCTTTAGCTTATTGTTTTTGGAATTCATTTTTTTACTTTTTTATTTTTAGATCATTTGGATTTACATACAATTGTATATATTATTAGTTTTAATTGCTTTATAGTTTACTAATGGACAATGGAGTTCCTGTTTCATCTGAACAATTTTACAAGAAACATTTCCATTCATGTATCTTAGCATATTTGTGCACAAGTATATCCCTAGAATTGCTACTACTTATTTTCAACTTTATCAGATAATTTCAAAAACCTTTCCACAGTACCAATTTACTCCCAATCTTAGAGCTCCTGCTGGTCCATATACTCACCAGCTGATATTGTCACCCAGCTGATATTATCACAGACTTCTCAATGTTTGCAATCTGATAGGTATGTAATGGTATACCACTGAGATTTTATTTTTAATATCTCAGATTATGAATAAGGTTGAAGATCTTTTCATATGTTTATGAATCATTTGGAACCTTTCTTCTGCAAAATGCCTATCATAGCCAGGTGTCTATTTTTTTCTTACTGGTGAGTAAAAGTTCTACATAAATTTGGGAAAACAGTCATTTGTGATTATACGTGGTGCAAATACTACATTCCTTAAATTTGGTTCTGCTACTACCACTCCATTGAAACTCTAATGTCATCAAAGACCCCTAATCTAAAACTCAACACTTTTATGTCTAGTCTCTTTAACTTTGTAGAATTTGATACTTCAGCACAGCTCTTTCCAATCAGTTGAAAAGAATTAAGTCCTAATGTGTTACAGTATTTGTTGTAAGTAATGAATTAATTCCTAGGCTATGGATTTAGAATGATACTAGCTAAGTGCTGTCCTTAGGAGAAACTAAAAAATAGTCAAAACATTTTCTGTAGGGCTTACTTCTTACTGTGGAAATGGCTGCTAGAATAACATTTTCTTAAAAACTTTCATATCTTTTCTTGATATGATATTACTCTGCCTGAGTTCTTCTTATAACTCTCTCTGAGAGCTCTTCCTATTTTTTCTAACCCCTTCCTTTAAATAAATAATCAGCCCTGGGCCTGCAATTACTTTTGTATCTCACTTAAAAACTTTTATCTGATAAACACTACTACCCAGATGATTCTGAACTTTCCCCAATTTTAATACAAGGCTTGATGCTTCAGCTTCTAACTACCTACACCTGGTTATTTCCACCTACAGATCCTCAAACTCAATAAACCTAACACCAAAATTATTTTATCCTCCCAATCACCAACACCTGTTTTTATTCAGATGTGCCCATTTAACTAGCAGTAACAGAATTTAATCACAAACTTTCAAAAGCTATTACTGTTCAAACTTTCCTTACTTCTTATATCCAATCAGTTACAAAATTCTGCTAATTATTCCTCTGTAATAGTTCTTGTCTTCATTCATGTGGCAGAAATTACAAAATTAATTGCAAGTCTTCATGGCCTCATGGCTGAGACATTATGATTTAAGGACCTCTTCATTTCAATTGATCAAAAACACCAGACCCATCTTCCTAATCACAAGTGTCATCACAGTACTCTCTAAATCAGGTCAGCCGTGAGTTAGGCATTCCTCTATGTGATGTGATCAAAGCAGTGTTTCTCAAACTTTACTGTGTACATAAGTCACTTGGGAATCTTGCTAAAATGCAGACTATCATTCAATAAGCCTAAGAGGGATCTGAAATTCTGTATTTCTAACAAGTTCCCAAGTGATGCCAATGCTGCTGGTCCAAGAACTATATTTTAAACAGCAAGGGGCTGAGAATAGAAGACAGGTGAGAGGCAGCACAACTACTGAATACAAATATGAATTTCCAGTAATATAGAGCTCAAATTCCCTATCCTAGCATTTAAGTTACTTTAACGTGGTCCTACTCTATAATTCTAAACTTTAATTCTTGTACTTCATATAAATCCTTTGAACAATCAATAAATTACTTATTCAGTGTTCCACTAATGCAGGGCTCTCAACAGGGGGTGATTCCCCACTAACTCCTGCTCCCCTCTTGAGGACACTTGGCAGTGTCTGGAGACATTATGAGTTTAACAACTGAGGAATGCTATTGGCATTTACTGGCATAGTGTTTAGAGGCCACGGATGCTGTCTACAATGAATAGTACAGCTCACTACAACAAAGAATTCTGCCCCCAAATTTCAACAATACTGGGGTTAAGAAAACTTTCCCTTAATGTATAGTGGTCCCGTAGTATTCTGCGGTGGGGTGAGGGTTGGTTCCAGTGTCCCTGAGTATACCCAAATCCGTGCATACTTAAGTCCTGCCGTTAGCCCTATGGAACCTGTGTACAGGAAAAGTTGGCCCTTCATATATGCAGGTTTCACATCCTACAAATACTCTATTCTCTATTTGCAGTTAGTTGAAAAAAAAATCCATGTATAAAGGGACCCACACAGCTCTAACCCATGATGTTCAAGGGTGAACTGCATATCATTTTCTGTTTTCCCTGCCTTCGTTCACATACTATCACAATCCTAGAATACCATTTTCATATTCTTTCATTTTTGCCTGCCCAAAACCTACTCACACCACTGAGGACTGACTCAACTATTTCTCCTACGAAATATTTCTTGACTACCAAGTTCACTAATCCATTCCTATATCCTACTCAAATAACACTGTATGACTGCTATATACTGGAAACTCTTACTGGCTTTAGGGACATAAAATTACATTTTTAAATGCACAGTTACTCTCCACTACATGTTTATAGTGGAGAAAACATAATAGTGTGGTAACTGCTACAATAAAGATATGTTCAACATAACAATGACAGCCAAAAAAGTATCAGATTTGGGGAAACGGGTCAAGAATGGCTACTAAAAGGATGTGATTTGATGAATAATAGTTACACGGAAGAAAGAAAGGCCAGAAAAAAAGGCAATCCAGGCAGAAAGAGAAACACCCATAAAAGCATAGGTTAAAAGAACTGCAAATAGTTTATGATGATGATAAGACTTGGGTTTT
The DNA here is from genome assembly GCF_000001405.40 of Homo sapiens. Lineage (NCBI taxonomy): Eukaryota > Metazoa > Chordata > Mammalia > Primates > Hominidae > Homo > Homo sapiens. Next base: position 111,114,206 of record NC_000003.12, on the reverse strand, counting down.
TGAAAAAAGAGAAGCAAGGAGAATAGATGAAGCGAGAAAAGTAGGTGTGGACAACATAATGACTAATCTTGTAACAAACAGCCTGGATTTTAAGCCAATAAGTATTGTATTAATTGAGAGGGAACTACTAAACTTTAAAGCAAAATAAAAAGTGATTTTATCCCCATGAGCTTGCTCTTTCATATGCAAAGTACTTGTTATTTATTTATTTATTTATTTATTTAGAGACACAGTCTCATTCTGTTGCCCAGGCTGGAGTGCAGTGGTATAATCTCGGCTCACTGCAACTTCCGCCTCCAGGTACAGGTGATTCTCAAGACCCAGCCACCCGAGTAGCTGGGATTACAGGCATGCACTACCATGCCTGGCTAATTTTTGTATTTTTAGTAGAGATGGGGTTTTGCCATGCTGGCCAGGCTGGTCTTGTACTCCTGGCCTCAAGTGATCCATCTGCCTCAGCCTCCCAAAGTGCTGGGATTACAGGAGTGAGCCATACAGTACTTTGTGTTACCTTTTTTACTGATGTCCTCCATGTGAGTTTTCAGATATTCATGCCTTGCCTTCTAATCAGAAAATTTCTCAAAAACATCAATCTCTTAAATGTAAGTTATATTTCCCCATAGCTCTTAGGGCAGTGTCTTAAATATACTAAGCCTCAAATATCTAATTAAAAGAATATCTCTCAACATGAAAAAATATATAATAAATTTGGACAAAATTGCTGTCCTATACTTCAGAGACATTACTATTATGTCCTTAAACATTAGGAGCTATTAACTTGTTTGGTTCTCCAGGAAGCAGACACTGTGATGTGAGAAGTATAAAAGGTTTACCAGGGAGTGATAACTGGGAGAAAAGGGAGAAGGAAGAATGAATTGAGTAAGGGGAGCTATCAGTACCCTGACAAAGTCTCCATTCAGGCCAATGGTCATATTCCATTAAAGGAGTCCACTTTGGGTAAAACTCTTCACACCACTATCTTGTTCAATCACTGGCCCCAAGAAGAGCTTACCCCTGGCTACCACTGCCTCACTTAGTCACTGGCCTGAGGTCACTCACAAAAAGAATAGCCCTGAAAACTGAAGTAATCTTAAAGGACCTAACAGCTGGACGCTGTCAGCTACCCACACTGCCAGTAGCTGTTTGAGTAAGAATCTAGGCAGTAGATCTTCATGTGAGCAGCCACCAGTTGCTATTGCTCCTCAATCTTCATTTCTATCATTTCAAAAGTACTTATCAGCATTTCCAAATTGGTTTACATTTCACTGAAAGTAGCTTAAAGTTAACGAGCTTTTTCAACATTTTACCATAAACTTTAACAGGTATCATAGGAAATAGTGGAATATCACTATTATGAGCAAAAGCACCATATTCAGATAGCTATGCAAATCTAAAATAGCAGGAATAAAATGTGATATGAAATAGTAAAACATGAGGTGTCAATGGCTCCTAGATGCAAAACTCAATTTTTTAAAAATGAAAAAATTTAAGATGGTAATTTGATTAAAGGCTGAAAATTTGAGGGGAGGTAATGAAAATAAAGATGTCACAGAAACTCAGAACTTAGTATATAATTAAAACTCATCACTATCTTTCATAAAGAAACTAGATAAAACTATGTAGCATTACATAGATAAGTAGGTATATATAGACAAGATTTTATTTACAGGGAACCTAGAATCATAAATTTTAAGAAGGATCTTGAAAAATCGTATTTGAATTATTTTACTTTAAACCTAAAGTTAAATCAAATTTCAACCATTTTAATTTCTTAAAAATATTTTTATTATAATCTTCACCACTATCACCAAAATACATAATTCAAGCATACCTACCTAACACAGTTACAGTTGTAGAGGACTGGGCATTTCCAAGCGGGAATGTAACAGCTTTGCAGATGTATTTTCCAGAATCAGAGAATCCTATGTTATGCAGAGTAATTGTTGCATCATTAAGTGAGTAATTTTTAAACAAGACTCTTCCCTGATATTCTCCTTGAACAGAGAATCCATATTGGGGATGGTGAACTGCAACAGTCTGTGAACTTTTGCCATGTATCTTCTCCCATGAAATCTGTGTTATGGTTTCATTTACTTCAATTAAACACTTTAATGAAACATTCTTTCCCCATACTGCTGTGACATGTGGCTCCACAATAATTGGTCCAGCTAAGGCACCTATGGAGGAAAAAAAAGTACTACAATTTTTAAAATAGAAAAAAGTGGTCAACACTCTCCTCCCTTCCTGACCCCCTGTGTAACTATCTCTAGCTACACACACACACACACACACACACACACACACACATGCACACACACACACATGCACTCACACGCACCACACACAAAACGTACAACTGAGTAACAAAAAGAAATGAACTAGGTGTTTTCTGGGCTTGATATGAGATCCAAATGTGACTGTCAAATAAATTAACAATACGCCAATATGTGTTGCAGTGAAAAAAGCACTAGATTAGGACCAAGTTGACTTGGAAGTACAATCCTTCCTCAATCAAGCCTTCACATGAGTTCCCAGCTCTGGCTGACACTTTGACTGCAGCCTTGTGAGAAAGACTGAGGTAGAAGATTCAGTTACATCATGCCTGGATTCCTGGCACACAGAAACTGAGAGATAATAAATGGATATTGTTTTAAAGCCATTATGTTTTGGGGTAAATTTTTTACATGGCAATAGATAACTTATGCATGTAGGATCTCCCAAACCAAATATAATACTGAAGTATCTTCTTTTGGAGGGTCCCTATGTCAAGTATCTCTACTGAAAAGTCATTAAAGACAGATCAATTGTCAGAAAATGTTAATGAAGAAATGCTTATATAAATGTAAAATAATTTTGTTTTTCCATTTCAGGGTTAAGAAAAAAAATTTCACAAGCAAAAGTTAAAATGACATCAAACTTCTTCAATATAATACGTTTTTCCTTCCTAAAAGCAATAGAGCAAAACTTACAATGTTTTGAGGGATATAAAGCTAACATTCATGACTACTATAGTCAAGCACGATGCTGCTCATTGACAAGTATATCAGAATATGTATAACAAGTCCTTGGAGGTCTACAACTCACATATGTTCTCTAACAAAATAAATGAACAAATACACAAACCAAGAAGTAAACCAAAATAAGCACTCAAAAATGGAAATCGTATAAACAATACCTTTAAAAGTTACATCTAATTAATATTTTTAAATGAATACAGAAATGCAGAAGGGCATCACCACATAATCAAGAAAAATGCATTTAAACATGTTCAAACACATCCAAATATGGTAAAAAAAAACTTTATGCAATATTATTTCCCTGAATCTTTTTTAGAGGAATAAACAAAAACAAAAAAGTAAATTAGAAGGCAAATTTTATCACCTAAGAGATGACTGAGGATCTCACAATAAGGGACTGACAATTCACACTGACTACACTTAACAGCTACGAATTTAAGTTTCAGTTTTTTAACCATTGCTTCAAAAAAGTATCAGGCCCTGAAAATTTACTCTCATGTTCTATAATCCTAGAGTACAGATAATTACTAAGCTTTTAAAATTACTCCAAGATATATGAAATGTGAAAGTATTCTAATGTATTTTAGCAACCTATCACAAGCTTGGTACTTTATAAACAAATAAAAAAGTAGTCTCATGAATATCAACAAAAAATTTCATTTATTATGAAATAATAGCTCTGTATTTAAGAAAACTACACAGCCAAGTAGGACTATTCTAAGAACAAAAGGATATTTTTAGACTGCTCATCACATTAAAAGCTCACATGACTTTCTTATTCGATGTTAAAAAGGTATTTAATAAAACTTACCATTTACTATCTGATTTAAAAAGAAAATCTAACTAAGAAAAGGATTCTTAATAAAGTAGATTCTTCTCAAATCAGTGGCCATTATCAACACTAAACAGAAAGAGGCATGGGTATTAAAAAAAGACCAAGACAAGATGGTGCACTATCATTGTTCAACTGAGACTGGAAATTCAATCCAGTGTAATATGAAAAAGGAAAGGATAAATATTAGGAAGGAAAAGAAATAATTATTATTTGAAAAATCTATTACCTGCAAAATCCAAGAAGATGAAATGAAGGGCTATTAGAACCAATAATGTAGTTGCTTATAAACATATGCAAAATGTATATGAACTATATAATCAGTATGTTACAAAGGGTGATATCTTTACAGATTTATTGCAGAAAAGGGTTTAATTTGTAAACATTAATATTTAAAACACTCATGAATAAAACTGTAAAAAACTTATAAACCTGACTTGAAAAAATAGAAGCTATGCCATATTCCTAGGTAGGAAAACTTATTTACATGTCAATTCTCCCCATATTAATACACAAATGCAATGCAATTATAGTGAAAACCCTGATAAAATTTTTTTAAAAACAGGGTAGAAATAACTGCCAAAAATATTTCAAAACACTAACAGACTACTGAAGAGGGAAAATATTAAAGTAAAAATAATAAAAGTTTGGTATTAGGAACATAAAATAATTGAAAGTACACAAACAGACCTATATATAATAGGATGTGCTATACAACAAAACTAAGATTTTGAGTGGGAAAATAATATATTAGTCAAGAAATGCTGAAAGAGCATGAGCAAAATACTTGGAAAAATACAGATCCCTCTTTTATACTAAACACTGAAAGAAAAAGAAAAAAAAACCCTAGATGGACTGAAGACCTAAAAGTAAAAAATTATTGCCTGTACATATGTATATAGACAAAACTTTCTGTATATTTTGTCAAATAACACTAATTACCCTAGAAAGGCAAATTTAACATTACTGAGGACCAAAGAAAGAATTTCTAGTTTTTATTTTATCCCCTTCAAATGGAGGTAAAACCACAACAACAACAAAGGGAGTAAGAGAAGTTTTATGGAGTGAATGTTTGTGTCCTCCCTAAAATTCATTCTGAAGCTCTGACCTCAAAGGTAGTATCTGGTAGGCCTCTGCATGATAATTAGGTTTAAATAAAGTCATACAGGTGGGCTCCCCATGATTGGACTGGTGTCCTTAAAACAAAGAAAGGAGAGCTCACTCCCTCACTTTTTCTAGGCCATGTGAGGAAACAGTGAGAAAGTGATTGTCTACAATCCAGGAAGAAGATCCTCATCAAGAACTGGATCTGCTGGCACATGGATCTTGGACTTCCCAACCTCCCCAAATGTGAGAAATAAATGTCTGCTGTTTAAGCTGCCCAGTTTACAGTATTTTGTTATAGCAGCCTGCAATGGTTTGGATGTTTTGTCCCCTACAAATTTCATGTTGAAATGTGACCTCCCATATTGGAGGTGGACCTAATGAGAGGTATTTGGGTCATGGGAGTGGAGCCCTCATTAATAGCTTGGTGCTGTCCCTGTGGTAATGAGTGAGTTTCCACTCTGAGTTCACAGGAGAGGAGATCTGGCTGTTTAAAAGAGGCTCGCACTTCCCCGCTTTCTTTTGCTTTATGTAACATGTTGGCTCCCCTTCACTTTCTCCCATGATTCTAAGCTTCCTGAGGCCCTCACCAGAAACAGATGCCAGCACCATGTTTCCTGTGCAGCCTGAAGAATGGTGAGCCAAAATAAGCCTGTTTCCTTTAAAATTACCAAGTATCAGGTATTCCTTTATAGCAACACAAATGGACTATAATACACACCCCAAGTTGACTAAGACAGGTAGTATTGGAATAACCTAATTATATCTCCTTACAATCCAGAAAAACCACAGCCTAGTGGGCCACCATTACCAAAAGGAGTATTGGGAGATACTGTTGTGGGGTGGAGGGAACTGACCCATTGGTTCAAAATTGTATTTTAAAAATTCTACAACATTTAGGTTAGGAAAGCCTCTCTCTCAGCATGACAGCAGAGACAGAAAAATCACCCAATAAAAAAGGCTGAGAGACTTAACCAGAAGGAGTTACCCCTAATGAACAAAGTTGATATTTACAAAAAAAAAAAAAAAATTTAGAAGTGGCTATATTTTAAGGTGTTTGGCTTTACTAGTAAACAAATACTAATGTAACTATCAAGATTTATTTTTCATCTTTTATTTTAATTTCTAGGAACTAATAAGTGATTTTTACTTTCTAATTTTTCTGTATTCTGAGTTTTACTGCTTGTTACAAAAGTAAGTTTTGCTGTGTTTTTTGTTTGATTCAACCCTTAAACCTTTCACCAAAGCGTTGTACTACTCTTCTAGTATTAATAAATTTGGCCCTCCCTTAGATTCCATAAGCCTCTAATTACATATCTGCTTTTTTATGTTTTAATTAGCCAGAGTTCTGTTGTTGCAAATAAAAGAATCTAATACATTTCCATTCCTGGACGAAATCCAAATGTTAAAAACCACTTCTGAATAAGATTTTCCCCCATGGAATCTTAAAACTGTGCAGAAACAGATTTTCTGTTGTAGTTCTTAAACCAAACTCCAAATTAGAATGCCTCACTACTCAGAGACTACCAATCTTTAAGCCTACTACTACTTCCTCCCTCTACTTTCCCACATGAAGCTGAGTTTAACTGGAGAGCAGAAAGGTCCTGAAGAAATGTAAACGTTTATTATTAAAGAGCTAAATTATTTAAAGTTTAAGTTCATCACTATTGGTAATGTAAGTCTAGAATATAAAGAGGCAAAGGAATAGCAAATAATTGAATCTTCCACATCTAGCAAGACTCTAACCTTGTCATAAGGTGGTCCTGGCTACTGCACACTCTAGACACGTAGGAAAACCATAATAAAACAGGATACTACTCTGTTTCTACTCTGTCTTCCTGATTTAAAAGTTTAGTTTTGTATCATTAGCTAATTAATTAAATTGAATTTATTATTCTTTCAGAGAAAGAGACAGCATTTATTCCCCTATCTGTAGCTCCACAAAAACACTACAACCATGAAAACACAACTCTTTGGAGTCTTCATGTGTCTTTGAATAGTCATTCAGTCAATATTTACAGAGTGCCTGGGAGATACAAAACATTTGGAAATACACACATTCAAGAAGATGCTTGTGACAGAAAAGAAAATGTAATGACGTATATAACTACTATGGGTTTTTTAAAAAAAAATGAAGGGAGATCCATATTACAGATCACACACACTAAAAGTGTTTGAAATTAAAATATGAATAAAATTGCAACCATTCCCTTTCTTTCCTCCCTGACTCTCAGAAATGAACCAAGAAGAAACAGAAACCATCACAAACTTTTGACACTACACTTTTTAAAACTCTGATACTATCTTTTACCACATTTCACTTCTCAGCCTACAGTAATGGCATGCATATTGGACATTTCAGTTCCCAGGATCTTTCAAATGTTAAGATCTACACAATGGGTATGCAAATATGCTATAAAAGAAACATTTATTTTAGTCTGTGTTCAACTAAACACCACCTTTGAAAATCTCTAAGATATGAATCCTTTCAGACTCCTCAAAATTTAGAATAATTTAGAGGCAACTAATAAAATATACATTAACAAACTAGCAAGGTAATAGCATATAGTTGTCCTCAAAAATTTCATCATACTTCAACAAAACACATTTTGGAAGAATCAAATTTATCACCAGCACATTCAGTAATTAACCTGATTTGTTTTAAACTGATAGGTAAGTCATGTCAACTCTGAAAATATAACAAAAAGGTTTTTCAATAAAATCTCCAAACAATACTCAAACAGAAATAACCATGTAAGAATAAAGCCAGGTGAATTAAATAACATATAAACTGCAAATAAATAACACTATAAACTGCAAACAAATATTATCAAAGAATCTCTAACTTCATCTCATGTCATAATTAGAAATGATAATTCTGGAATTAAAGGTTTCTATATTCTAAGGAGAAACCTGGGTCACATGCCAAAAACTGGTTGAGAAAACCAACCATTTCTTCATTCATTCATCAGAATGCGTTGGGTGAACAATTTGTGCCAGGCACTGCTCTAGGTGCTGAGCCATTAGACAGTTTGCATTTTAATGAGGAAACAGACAATTAGCAAGGAACTAAAAATATAGAGAACAGAGGTGTAAATGTCAAGGATCCATAGTGCATTCTAACATTTAAATTCAGTAGCATCAATAAAGCTGGCCAGGGAAGCAAGAAGGGAACCAAGAGGGTATCCTATACATTAAGTGAAGAAAGTACCTACAGAGGGGTCAATTATTCCAAATGCTGCCAAGAAGTGGGAAAAAAAAAAAAAAAAAAGCACTGGTAAGTAACCACTGAATTTAGCAACTGTTTTGGTGGAGTGGTGAGAATAAAAGCTTGATTTGAAACAGAATAGAGACGACACCTTACAGACATGAAGGAGTAATAAGATTTATCCTTTTGCCTGAAACAACCATTTCAAGTTAACAGTCAACAGGCAACAAAGTTCTGATCCCTCAGAGGCAGTAGACGAAGTGAAGCACAAGGACAGAGAAACTAAATAGAGCTAGGCAGTCTTTGAGTTATATCCAAAATTGTACTGAAGGTTCTAGCCAGTACAATCAAGCAAGAAAAAGAAATAAATTCCAAATCAGAAAGGAACAAATGAAATGTCTTTATTCACAGAAAACACAATTGTCTTTAGAGAAAATATGATGGAATCTACAATAAAGCTACTATGAAAAGGGTGTTTAGTAGCAGACCTTATGCAGGACCTAAGACCAATATATACATATCGATTGTATTTCTATGCATTAGCAGCAGAAAATTAGAAAATAAAAAATGTAAAACATTGCTACGTAGAATAGCATCAAAAGTAGAAAATAAGGGCTGGGTGCAGTGGCTCACATCTGTAATTTAAACACTTTGGGAGGCCGAGGCAGGTAAATTGCTTGAGGTCAGGAATTTAAGACCAGCCTGGGCAATATGGCCAAACCCCATCTCTACAAAAAATAGTAAGTTAGCCAGGCATGGTGGCTCACCCCAGCTATTCAGGAGGCTGAGGTGGGAGTATCGCTTGAGTCTGAGAGGCAGAGGTTGCAATGAGCCAAGATCGTGCCACTGCACTCCAGCCTGGGTGACAGAGCAAGACCCTGTCTCAAAAAAAAAAGAAAAAAGAAAAAAGAAAAAAAAGAAAAGAAAACAAAAAAGAAAAAAAGATGAAATACAGATAAATCTGACCAAAGGTGTGAAAAAACTGTACAGTTAGAACTGTAAAATTTGCTGAGAGAAATTAAAGAATTATCTAAAGAAATGGAGAGACATACTTTATTCATGGATCAGAAGACACAACATTATTAACACATTAATTCTCTCTAAATTGATCTACAGATTTAACACAATCAAATTCCCATCTTTATTCGAAACTGACAAGTTGTTCTAAAATTTATCTAGAAATGCAAATATTTGTGACCTTAAGTTAGGCAGGTATTTCTTACATATGTCATTAAAAGCACAATGAGTTGTCTTCATCAAAATAAAAAAAATTCTGCTCTTCGACACTTAAAACCACTAATGAGGAGAAAATCCTTGTAAAACATGCATCTGGTAAAGGATTTATATCTGATAAGAACCAAAACACATAAAGAACTCCCAAAACTCCACAATAAAAAGACAAACCAATAAAACATGAGCAAAAGAGGTCGGGTGCAGTGGCTCATGACTGTAATCCTAGCAACTTTGGGAAGCTATAGCAGGAGGACCGTTTGAGCTCAGGAGTTTGAGACCACCCTGGCCAACATAGTGAGAACCCATCTCTACGAAAAATAAAAAATTAGCCAGACGTGTTGGTGTACGCCTGTAGTCCCAGCTATTCAGGAGTCTGAGATGGAAGAATCGCTTGAGCCTAGAAGGTCAAGGCTGCAGTAAACTCCAGTCATGCCACTGCACTCCAGCCTTGTAGACAGATCAAGATCCTCTCCCTCAAAAAAAAAAAAAAAAAAAAAAAGATCTGAACAGACATCACCAAAGATACATTAACAAGCACATGAAAAGATGATCAACATTTTAAGGAAATGTAAACTAAAACTAAAATAAGGTACTGCTACATAGCCATAAGAGTGGACAAAATCAAATGGGCTGACAATAACAAGTTTTGAAGAAAATATGGATGAATTAGAACTCTCCTACATTGCTGGTTAAACTGTAAAATGGTAAAACCACACTGGAATACACTTAGCAGTCTCTTAAAGTTAAACATACCATATGATCCAGCCATATCATTCCTGTGTCTTTGCTCATCAGAAAAGAAGGCATGTGTCCACACAAAGACTTGTACACTTGCATACCCATGTTCATAGTGGCTTTATTTGTACACCCAAGAAGTAGAAACAATCCAAATGTCCATCAAGAGACGAATGAATATACAAATTGTGGTAAACCCATACAATGAAATATTAGTCAGCAATACAAAGGGGCATCCAACTAGCAATAGCTGCAACTTCCCCAGCTTGATAAAGAACATCTACAAAACAAAACACCCACAGCCAACATCATACTTAATGTCAAGAAACTAGAATCTTTCCAGTTAAGATCAGAAATAGGCAAGGATTTCCCCTCTCACTACTCCTTTTTCAACAGCATACCAGAAGTCCTTACTAAAGTAATAAGACCAGAAAAGGCAATAAATGTATACTGATTAGAAAGGAAGTTTTATTTCTTCCTTTCTTTATTTCTTTATTTATTAAGAAATAAAACTTCCTTTCTAATCAAAAATTTAGTCATTGTGGGTGATGAAAAAACTCCTGGAGCTAATAATCAATTACAGCAAGGTTACAGAATACAAAGTTAATTTAAAAAAAAAAAAAAGTCAATCACTTTCTTACGTATCAGTAATGATCAAGTGGAATTTGAAGTTAAAAACACAAATTTACATAGCACCCACAACAATAAAATGCTTAGGTATAAATCTAACAAAATATGTACAAGATCTATATGCAGAAAACTATACAATTCTGAGAAAATCAAATAACTAAGTAAATGGGGAGATATTTCATGTTCTTGAATAGGAAGACTCAATATTGTCAAGATGCTAGATCTATAGATTCAACAACATTCCAATCAAAATCTCAGCAAGTTATTTTGTGGCTAGCAACAAACTGATTCTCAAATGTATACGGAGAAACAAAAGACCCAGAAGAGTCAACACAATGTTGAAGAAGAACAAAGTCAGAGGACTTACATTATCTGACTTCAAGACTTAACATAAAGTTACTGTGATCAAGACCACGTGGTATTGGCTAAAGAATAGACAGGTCAGTGGAACAGAATAGAGCCCAAAAACAGACTCATATAGTCTTTAACTATACGTTAACTTTGATCTTTAACAAAAGAGCAAAGGCAATGTAATAAAGAAAAGATCTTTTCAACAAATGATGCTGGAACAACCAGACATCCACATACAAATAAATAATTCTAGACACAGATTTTATATCTTTCACAAAAATTAACTTGAAATAGATAATCAACCTAAGTATAAAATGCAAAACTACAAAAACCCTAGAAGACAACACAGCAAAAAAAATCTAGATGACCTTAGATACGACAATAATGTTTTAGATGAAACACCAAAGGCATGATCCATAAAAGAAACTCTTGATAAGCTAGGCTTCATTTAAATTAAAAATTTCTGCTCTGAAAAACACACTATAAAGAGAATAAAAAGACAAGCCATGCTTAAAGTTACTGATCTTGAATTACAGCAGCATCAACCAGCTTTCAGCTGCCTGAGTGGAGGCGTGAAGAAGGCACAGAACAAGATTTAACCTGGGTTGGACATTTTACCAGGCATGCACAATTTAAAAGAGAAACAGGCAAGGGAGTTGATGTGGTTTTGATGGATTATGAATTTTAAGTTGGTCAAGAAGTGGGGGAGGAGGAAGTAGGATGAAAGGATTATAGAAACCAATATAGCTAAAGAACTATTGCAACTGAGGTACTAAGTGGGGTGAGGTGGAAAATGGGAGATGATGGGTGGATAGTGGGAAAGTTAATTTCTCTGGGATTCAGTCTTAACGTTTATAAAATGTTTCATCACCTTAAAATTGTACATTCTTGAAAACTGCCAAAAAGCTTTTATATACACCATTTCTATTGATCTCCACATCCCAACCCTTGCTCCTAAAAAATCACCCTGTTAGGTGCAGGTAATTTATTTTCCATATGATGGACCAAGAATGAAAAAGGTCAAGACTTACCCTGGGCCATATAAATTATAAGGGACAGTATCATTTGCCATAGTCCAGAGGATCAAGGAAGACTCTGCTAGATGTGACATTTAAGCTATACCTTGAAGGCTCATCTTTTCATAAGCTGAGAAGACCATTCCATGCTAAGCAAAGATTCAGTATGAAGCCAAAATACATAAGTACAAATAAGGCTGGAAACGAAGGCTGAATACAAAATGGGAAAGGACAGTAATCTGAAATGGCACAAAGAACTAGAACTAAAGTCTTGTAATTATTCTCTGGCACATTGCTTAGCATTTTCTAAAACAGTACTGTCTCAGTCACTAGCCACATGTGGCTATTTAAATTTAAATTAAATTAGGTTTTCAGTTACAAGCCATATTTCAAGTACTCAATTTCCACAATTAGCTAGTGACAATCATACTGAACAGTATAGCTACATTATATTTGCATCACTGCAGAAAGTTCTAGATAACACAATTCTAGAATAGAAGTTCAATAAAAGTCAACTTCCTTTCTAAATAAAGGTTTACAGGTTTCTATGAAGCTAAAAAATTCAGCTTCAAATAATTTTTAAAAGTTTACGTTTCTATAATAACTTACACGTAACCAATATAGTGAATAACAGGCATAGAAAATAGCAAATTTCTACAAAAATATTTTCTACACATTAACACTAACTATAAAGTTAATCCTACTGTATCATGATATTTTTAATAATCTTTAAGTAGCAATTTCAGGCTTTTATAAAATGTTCTTTCTAAAATGGGGTTTTCATCATCTATTCTCAAACAATTGCTATGTTTTAATTTCAAATAAGGACAGTATCTTGATTTAACCAACCAATATTAAGTAAGGGTTCTCTTTAGTTGAATTTACTGTGTGGGTGAAAGCACAATTTCTTCATATTTTCAGAAGAGAAGCACAAAACTTTAGAACAGGAAGAGACCTTAGGGGGTATCTGATATAACCTCATTTTATAGAGGTAGTGATCTGCTGTTATTACATGACTAGTTAATGGCAAAACACAGATAAGAAGCAGCCTCCTGGCTTTCAACAGTTATCTTCCCAACTCCCTCATGTTGAGCACAAAATGAGTAAAATTGAATGTTTTATAGAAAGAAAATCTATAAGAGCTACTAGTCAGGACGTTCAAAATCTCAATGATTTTCAAATTACAAAGTTAGAGAGGTATTGCAGTTCTTAAACTAAGCACTATGCAAGCAAAATGCAGAGACAGAGTTTTCATAACAATTATTCAGATTCTACTCTTTCCATTCCCACTTCAACCTGTGAAACTGTTGCAATTTTAAAATACTAATGAATTATTTTTAAAATAATTTCAAAATTAGTTTTTAAAAAAGTCTTAAAGTTAGTTTAAATTACTATTTAAATATTTAAATGAGTTTTAATCCTAATAAAATGTATTCCCAAAAATATCACAAAAATTATATTACAGGTTGAGTAGCCCTTATTTGAAATGCTTAGGACAAGATGTGTTTCAAATTTTGGCTGTTTTTTTCTTATTTTGAAATATTTGCATATACATGATGAGATATCTTGGGAATAGGACTAAAGCCTAAACACAAAATTCATTTATGTTTCATACACACCTTATACATATAGCTTGAAAGTAATTTTACACAGTATTTTTTAAAATTTTGTGCATGAAAGCAAGTTTGTGTGCACTGAACCATCAGAGAACAAAGTTGTCAGCTATGGAAAGTTTCAAATTTTGGAGCATTTCAAATTTTGTGAACTTGTAAATATCTTCTTAGAAGTTGACAATGTAAGGAACTGGCGCTTTAAAGACAAAAATCTACCAATTCTCATATAGCCTTCTATAACGGTCCAGGTAAAAATTTGTATACCCACATGTCAACATTCATTAATAATCCAAAAATCTCAAACTTGCTGTTTCAAAGGAAGCACCTCTAAACAATTACATAGGGCTTATGATTCAGTAACACACGTACTTCTAAGGTCTAAGAATGAGACTTAAAACTGTAGACGAGTAACAAAATGGAATAAAAAAAAGCAAGAACTTTGGAGTTGGACTAACCTAGATTCAAGAACAGTGTGACTCTGGGTCCTTGAGCTGTTTTATCACCTATAAAACAAGACTATTATCACCTAATTAACAAGGTCTCAATAAAATTTAAAAGGAAGCACTCAAACATGGAAATAGGTACTAACTAAGCACCAAAGGAAGAAGCACTAAAATTGTTTGAGGTCCAGTTAAAACTAAAGCCTGATTCTGTAGTGGCACTAATGTACAAGGCTATATGATTTCTTCCCCACTCCCCTAACCCCAGCATCACTAGCAGCTAAGAGGTAAGCACAGAGAATGTATAGAGCCAGACTGATCCATAGTTAGACTTTGCGAGGCTGGTGTGACTGCAAATTTTTGTTTGAGACACGTAGATACTCTAAGACAACTGAAGGTTAAGAAAAAAAGGGTGCTAATACAGGCAAAATATAGGATGCATAGCACATATTAAGTGTTCAAATATTTATTGATTTTCACTCATGGAATATAAAGTATTAATACTATGTTCTACAACACAGAAGATTGTATAGCTACAAATTCCAAGAACTGATAATCTAGAAAAGAAAATAAGACATACAAGGCAATGAACGTTATGGCTACAGTGACCACGTAATTTGTTAACCAAGCGAAAATTTTGTTTAGAGAAACATTATTAATAATTTTACCACAATACTTGTAAACCTAGATATTCCAAGGCAAACAGGGACATATTATCCTTATGAGAGCCTCCTAGGTAAGAGTACAAACTTAAAAAGATACTTAGGAAAACCAATGAGAGAAGTGTGTAGAGTAAGAAAAGCTACATCTAGAAAGTAACATTTTCTTTCAGCTACAACTAAACTAGTGACTAATTTTGTCTGTAAGCTGTAGGAGATCAGTAGCATTTATGATGGATGTTAGGTGAGGTGGGATTTTCCAGGCAGGGTAAAGGCACTAAAGGAAAAACAAAAGCAAACAGGCTCACAGCAACAGAAAACACAAGGAAAGTTTATAAAACTCAGAAAAACCCAAGTATTGGTAACAAAATGACAGGAGATAAGGCCAGAAAGGCAAGTTCTTAATTAAGTTTGTTTGCTCATCTTTTTTTTTTTTTTTTAAACTAACGTTTATTTAACAACCTACCTGTATGGGCCAGGCATTTATGCTGAGGAAGGACAAAGGAGATGAAGCATGCTCCTTACCTTGGGAAACTTAAAGTGTAGTCAGGAGGAGAAACAGAATATTGCAGGTTGAAAATACAGGAAGTCAAAAAATTAACAAGAGTAAATAGGAAAACTGGTCTAACAGTTCACATATTGTACTGGAAAAAAGAGAGCACAGATGCAGAAAGAGTAATTAGGTGAAATGAACCTGTTATCTTATTTGGAAAAATGAGTCTCTGAAGATGTAATTAAGTTAAAGGTCTCAGGATGAGATGACACTGGATTATCCAGGTAGATCCCAAATCCAATGACAAGTGTCCTTACAGAAAATACACAGAGTGAGGTCAGAGAGATGAGAAGGCCATGTAAAGACACAGGAAAAAACTGGAGTTATGCAGCCACAAGACAAGGAATGCCTGTAGCCACCAAAGCTGAAAGAAGCATGGAACAAAATCTCCCTTAGAGCCACTGGAGGGAACACGGCTTGATTTTGAAATAGGATGCACAGCACAAATTACAGACTTCTGCGCTCCAGAACTGTGTGAGAATATATTTAAGTCACTAGTTTATGATAATGTGTTATAGAAGCCCTAGGAAACTAATATAAGAGAGTATTGCACTAAATTTGGCATGATACCCAGAACAACAGTAGTGATAACATGAACAAAAACAGGGAAGACGTTCAGACTTGCACACTGCTCAAAGGTCCTAGAATCAGTGTTAGTTTAGATGTATTTTTTTCTTCTCTGTTCTAAATCCAGATAACTTTACAGATTAAAACCAAAGAAAAGGATAATTATAAACTCAATAGGTTTCAGCTTCCTCATCTAGAAAAGGAAGAATCTAGACTAGAAAGTGGTTTTCAAATTGATCTCCATGTTCAATTCTAGTAATGTAACTCAAGGAAGAGGTGGGGAAAAGTACTACACAAGAGAATTTCAAAGCACAAGGCTAACAGCTTCTGTCAGAGCAGCTTCATTTTTATACATGTAAAATTTTTATATATGTGTATTCGTCCATTTTCATGCTGCTGATAAAGATACACCCGAGAGTGGACAATTTACAAAGGGAAGAGGTTTAATGGAGGGAAGAGGTTTAATGGAGAACTCACAGTTCCACAGGGCTGGAGAAGCCTCACAATCAGGGAGGAAGGCAAGGAGAAAAGTCACATCTTACATGGATGGTAGCAGGCATAGAGAGCTTGTGCAAGGAATCTCCTCTTTTTAAAACCATCAGATCTTGTGAGACTTATTCACTAACACAAGAACAGCACAGGAAAGATCTGCCCCCATGATTCAATTACCTCCCACCAGGTCCCTCCCACAACATGTGGGAATTGAAGATGAGATTTGGGTGGGGACACAGCCAAACCATATCATTCCATCTCTGGCCCCTCCCAAATCTCATGTCCTCACATTTCAAAAACAATCATGCCTTCCCAAGAGTCCCCCAAAGCCTTAACTCATTTCAGCATTAACTCAAAAGTCCACAGTTCAAAGTCTCATTCGAGACAAGGCAAGTCCCTTCTGCCTATGAGCCTGTAAAGTCAAAAGCAAGTTAGTTACTTCCTAGATACAATGGGGGTACAGGTATTGGATAAATACAGCCATTCCAAATGAAAGACACTGGCCAAAACAAAGGGGCTGAAGTCCAGTGGGGCAGGCAAAACTTAAAGCTCCAAAATGATCTCCTTTGATCTCCTTTGACTACATGTCTCACATCCAGGTCACGCTGATACAACAGATGGGTTCCCATGGTCTTGGGAAGCTCTGCCCCTGTGGCTTTGCAGGGTACAGCCTCCCTCCCGGCTTTCACGGGCTGGCATTGAGTGTCTGCAGCTTTTCCAGGTGAACAGTGCAAGCTGTCAGTGGATCTACAATTCTGGGGTCTGGAGGACAGTGGCCCTCTTCTCACAGCTCCACTAGGTGGTATCCCAGTGGGGACTCTGTGGGGTAGATCCCACCCCACATTTCCCTTCTGCACTGCCTTAACAGAGATTCTCCATGAGGGCCCCAACCCTGCAACAAACATTTGCCTGGGCATCCAGGCCTTTCCATACATCTTCTGAAATCTAGGTGGAGGTTCCTAAACCCAAATTCTTGACCTCTGTGCACCCGCAGGCTCAACAACACGTGGAAGCTGCCAAGGCTTGGGGCTTCCACCTTCTGAAGCAACAGCCCGAGCTGTACCTTGGCCACTTTCAGTCACGGCTGGAGCGGCTGGGACGCAGTATACTAAGTCCTAGACTGCATACAGCAGAGGGACCCTGGGCCCAGCCCAAGAAACCATTTTTCCTCCTAAACCTCCAGGCCTGTGATGGGAGGGAGGGGCTGCTGCAGAGGTCTCTGACATGGCATGGAGACGTTTTCCCCATTGTCTTGATGATTAACATTTGGCTCCTCATTACTTATGCAAATGTCTGCAGCCAGCTTGAATTTCTCCTCAGAAAATGGGATTTTCTTTTCTATCACATTGTCAAGCTGCAAATTTTCCAAACTTGCATGGTCTATTTTCCTTTTAAAACTGAATGCCTTTAATAGCACCCAAGTCACCTCTTGAATGCTTTGCTGCTTAGAAATTTCTCCCACCAGATACTCTAAATCAACTCTCTCAGCTTCAAAGTTCTACATATCTCTAGGGTAGGGGCAAAATGCCACCAGACTCTTTGCAGAAACATGACAAGAGTCACCTTTGCTCCAGTTTCCAACAGGTTCCTCATCGCCATCTGAGACCACCTCAGCCTGGATTTTACTGTCCATATTATCAGCATTTTGGGCAAAGCCATTCAACAAGTCTCTAGGAAGTTTCAAACTTTCCCACATTTTTCTGTCTTCTTCTGAGCCCTCCAAACTGTTCCAACCTCTGCCTGTTACCCAGTTCCAAAGTCACTTCCACATGTTCAGGCATCTTTTCAGTAATGCCCCACTCCACTGACACCAATTTACTATTTTAGCCCATTTTCATGGTGCTGATAAAGACATACCCGAGACTGAGCAATTTACAAAGGGAAGAGGATTAATGAAGAACTCACAGTTCCAGCTGACTGGGGAAGCCTCACAATCACAGTGGAAGGCAACAAGGAGCAAGTCACATCTTACATGGATGGCTACAGGCATAGAGGGCTTGTGCAAGGAAACTCCCCTTTGTAAAACCATCAGATCTCATGAGACTTACTATCACAAGGAGATCACAGGAAAGACCTGCCCCCATGATTCAATTACCTCCCATAGGGTCCCTCCCACAACACATGGGAATTCAAGATGAGATTTGGGTGAGGACACCACCAAACCATATTAATATGTAAAGCTGTTGAAAAAAGTAAGGGGCAGGGGAACAGGAAGGAGGCTGAATATAACCAGATTAGATGTCTGGAGTCTTTTTCTGCACTATTTAGCAATTTGTTCTTTCTTCTGCCTTCTGAACAGAAGCTGATCAAAGGTAGACCCCAGAAATGCACACTATAATACTATAATCCAACCACACTCTTTTCTTCCACCATAATTTCCATTAAGTATCTCAACAGCAAATATTCATTAGCCTTTGAATCTCTTTAAGTTCTTGAATATAAAACTCAATATAACATGGAACCTTTTCTGAAAAGCAAATTTAGGTTCCTTTTTTTCAGTGACTCCAAGATGAAGATTTTTCCCTCAAGTCTCTAAAATAGATATAGGTGGTCTGTGTATACGCAAACTTGGTTATTATTCCTAGTGGCATGACTGACAGTATGCAACACTATGACCTATGACTTTTAAGTTAATGAGAACCCTATGTTCCACTAATTTCTTCTGGTATGATGAGAATAGCACCAGAATGAAAACTTACAGAATGGCTCTTAGAGCCTTGTAAGAAAAATCTCAGTGACTATTATCTTTTGTGTACTAATGAGTTAACATAGCAATCATAACTGCTATCCTTGAAAAAAAAGACTTCCTGCAAAATTAGCCCTTAACTGGCATTGGTGAACTTAGATTTGGGGAGGGGTTCTACCATTAACTGATGATAGTTCACTCTTTGTGCAAATATGGTTTATGCTGAATAACTACTTTCCTTCTAGGAGTCTGGAATTTGGGTATACACTAGGCAGGGAGTACTCTCATGATCAGCCCCAAATGAAAACCCTGTGCACTGGGTCACTAGTCTCTAATGAGCTTCTGTGGCTGGTAACATTTCATAAATGTCACAACTTGTTCCTGAGGGAACTGAATCCATCTTGTGAGACTCTGAAAAAGGACTGTGGAATCCTGTTCCTGGTTTTTCCAAGACTTCGCCTCAGGCCCCACTGCTGATTGTGCTTGGTATCCTTTATATGTCATAAATCATAGCCTTGAGTATGACTCTTCTGAGTCCTGTAAGGCCCCAGAGAATTACTGAATCTGAGGGTAGTCTTGGTAATCTTTTAACGTATCTTTTATGAAAGACAGCATCAAATAACTCCTCACAGCACTGATGAAAAAGCACAGAAAGGCAAAAAGCAATATGAAAAAGTAAGACTGAATATTAAAAATAGGAGTACCTTAAACATTATCCACTTATATTTCCATTTTCATGTATGCACACAAATTATGATGATTTTTAAAACTATGCCTATGGGTGAAATATTGAGAAGTATAAGAGTATAGTAAATATAAAATAAGTCAATAGACATAAAATAAAAATTACAAGTGATATAAAAGTATTGTCACAGTTTTTTTTTGTTTTGTCTTTTCCTTCCTTGTATGAAATAAAAGTATAGTAAATATAAAATAAGTCAATATATATAAAATAAAAATTATAAGTGATACAAAAGTATTGCCACAGTTTGTTTTTGTCTTTTCCTTTCCTTAATAAAATCATAATATCTTTTAATCAATGACAATTTATATCCAATGAAATAAAGTAACTGTCACAATTTGATATTCTAAAGCAGTAGATCAGCATCTACAGAGTAAGTGTTTCACATAAGTGACAAGGCAATGCAAGTTATGACACACTAAAAGCAGACTAATAGAGGTTTTAAAACAATTGTTTACGTTGTTTTTACATTCCATCCACTATCTAAATATTTAAATGTTTTAGTTACACAAATTAATATGTATAAACTTAAGTTTCTAGAAAGGCAATAATATAAACATTTTTTCATTTCATTTGGTTTAAGAGATACATAAAGCCAGGCACGGTGGCTCATGCCTGTAATCCCAGCACTTTGGGAGGCTCAGGCAGGCGGATCACCTGAGGTTAGGAGTTCGAGGCCAGCCTGGCTAACATGGTAAAACCCCGTTTCTACTAAAAATACAAAAAATTATCCAGGCGTGGTGGCACGTGCCTGTAATCCTAGTTACTCAGGAGGCTGGGGTAGGAGAATCACTTGAACCCAGGAGGTGGAGGTTGCAGGGAGCCAAGATCACGCCATTGCACTCCAGCTTGGGCAACATTGGGCAACAAGAGCGAAACTCTGTCTCAAAAAAAAAAAAAAACCCAACAAAATAAAAAAACCACACACATTAATACTTAGCTTCTAATCTTGTGCATGAACACCTTTAAAATATGGTCACACTATGGAAATGTGCACATTATCAATATATTGCCTCTCAGCTCCAAATGCATCCTTCTATATATGCTCTGTGATAAAATGGAATTCCTTTAAGTATTTCTCCTTTAATGTGAACAGTGCTGCATTGTCTTGGGAGAGGGGACTGAAAAGATATTGCAGGAGGAAGAGGCTGTTAGAACTAATAAAACAGTTCATCAGGTTTGAAGGATACAAGCTCAATACACAAAATTCAACTGCATTTCTATAGACTAGGAATAAATAATCCAAAAATGAAATTAAGAAAGCAGTGCCACTGACAATACCAACAAAATATGAAAAAATTTAACAATGAAGTGTAAAGCTTACACTGAAAATTACAAAACAATGTTAAAAGAAATTAAAGAAAGCCTAAATAAATGTAAACTTATCCCATGTTCATGTATCAACAGTTAATACTGTTAAAATGGCAATAATCTCCAAACTAATCTAGAGATTCAACCTACTCTCTTATCCAAATCCTACCTGGCACAATTGCTGAAATTGACAAATTAAATCTGAAATTTATATGGAAACTAAAGGGTCTAGTAATAACCAAACTTGAAAAATAAAATAAAATTGGAGGACTAACACTGCCCAATTTCAAGACTTTCTTCAAAACTACAGTGACTAAAACTGTGTGACTGAAACTAATCAAAACTGTGTGACACTAGAATAAGAAGACATATGAATCAACAGAACAGTACTGAGTCCAGATAAACCATCACATTTATCAATTTATTTTCAACAAGAGTACCAAGTCAATTCAATGGGAAAAGAATAATCTTTTCAACAAATGGTCCTGCAACAACTAGATATCCATATTAAAAAAATGATGTTAGACTCTTTCCTTGTACCATACACAAAAATTATATCAAAATGGATCATAGAGCTGAATATAAGAGGTACAACTAAAAAACTCCTAGAAGAAAATACTGTAGTACATCTTCATGAACTTGTGTTAGTCAAAGCCTTCTAGATATGGCACAAGCATAAGCAATTAAAGGATAAAAAACAGATAGTGTATTTTATCAAAATGAAAAGCTTTTCTGTTAAAATGGACATCAATAGGGTGAAAGAAAACACAACCTACAGACCAAAAGAAATCATTTGCAGAACACATACCTAAAATACTTGTCTCTAGAATATATCTTGGGGTGGGGGGAACCTCTTACAGGTCAATTATAAAAATATAAATAACCCAATTGAAACATGAGCAAAGGGTCTGAACTGACATGCCTTCAGAGAACATATATAAATGGCCAATAAGCAAATGAAAATTTGCTCAACATCATCAGCCATCACGGTAATGCAAATTAAAACAACCATACACCACCTCATACCCACTTGTGATGGTTACAATTAAAAAGGCAGATAACAAGTTTTTGTAAGAATGTGGGGAAGACTTTTCCAATGCTGGTGGGAACATAAAATGGTATAGCCCCTTTGGAAAACAGTTTGGTAGTTCTTCAAAAGGTAAAATATAATTAGCAACACCTCCAGCAATTTCACTTGCAGGTAAATACCCAAGTGAAATAAAAATATATGTCCACACAAAAACCTATATATGAACATTTACAGCAGCATTATTTATAATAACCCCAAAGCAGAAATAACCCAAATGTCTATCAACTAATGACTAGACAGACAAATGTGATATCTACATAACAGAATATTAGTTACAATAAAAAAGAATGAAATACTGACATATACAACAACATTGATGAACTTTGATAACATTACACTAAATGAAATAATACAGATACAAAAGACTACACATTGGCCGGGTGCAGTGGCTCACGCCTGTTATAATCCCAACACTCTGGAGGCCGAGGCGGGTGAATCATGAGGTCAGGAGATTGAGACCATCCAGGCTAACACAGTGAAACCCCGTCTCTACTAAAAAATACAAAAAATTAGCCGGGCATAGTGGGCGCCTGTAGTCCCAGCTACTCGGGAGGCTGAGGCAGGAGATGGCGTGAACCTGGGAGGCGGAGCTTGCAGTGAGCTGAGATCGCACCACTGCACTCCAGCCTGGGCGACAAAGCAAGACTCCGTCTCAAAAAAAATAAATAAACAAATAAAAGAAAAGAAAAAGACTACACATTTTATGGTAGCATTTAATGAAATATATAGAATAGTACATGTTTAAAGACAAAGAAGTAAATTAGTGTTGTATAGTGTTAGGAGCAGTGAGGTAAAATGGGAACTGACTTATTTTTGTGGAGGAAATAGTAACATTGACTACAGTGATAGCTGCATAACTCTATAAATATACTAACAACCAATTATCTATACACACTTTAAATCAGTAAACTGTAAAGTATGTGAATTATATCAATAAAGCTTCTGTATTTACTGCATAAAACAATAAAAATGCTTATGAGATACACACACACACACACTAGCACTAATGGCGGAATGAGGATAAAGTTAAACAAATGGTTTTAAATAGGCTGGTGCAAAAGTGATTGTGGTTTTAATGACAAAAACCACAATCACTTTTCACCAACCTATTTAAAAAGGTAAAATAAAGAAGTTTAAGGCAAAAAGAGAATTTTAATCAGCAGACTTGCACTAAAGAAAATACAAAGGATGATCTTCAGAGTAAGAAAAAGAATTCCAGATGGAAAACTTTAAGATGCCATGAAAAAACGAACTACAGAAAGGGTAAACACATATGAAAAAGAAATATTTACTGTATAAAAAAATAAAGATGCAAAATGCCTTATGAGACACACACACACACACACACACACACACACAAACAAGCAAACACACACTAGCACTAACGGCAGAATGAGGATAAGATAGTTAAATATTTGATGGTTCCTGTATTGCCTGGGAAGTAATAATATATGTACTAATTAATATGACTTTAATAAGTCAAGGATGCATCTTGTAATCTCTAGGGTAGTTAACAGTAGGGTAGTTCATGAAGTTAATATTAAAGAATATAACACCAGCAATCTAACAATAGGAAAATGGAATTATGAAGAATTATACAAAGGAAAGCAATAAATGAATAAATGAATAAAACAAAGGACGTATGGACAAGTAGAAAGCAAAATGTAAGATGGTAGAGCTAAACTCAAATATGTAAAGAAACTCTAATAACTAAATAGGCCAAACAAAAGACAAACCCTAGTAGACTGACTTTCTAAAATATATCTGCTGCTTACAAAAGATACGTCTTAAATTTAAGGACACAGAAAGATTGAGAGTAAAGGTTGCAAAAAAGATAAAATGCAAACGCTAATTGAAATAAACTTATGTAGCTATATGAAAACTAGACAAAGTAAATGTTAAGGCAAGAAGTAATGCTAGAGATACAGGGCCATTTAATAATGATAAAAGAGCCACGTCCCAGGAAAATACCATTCGAAATTTGATTGCACCTCATAACCTAATATGCACGGGGCAAAAATTCACAGAATCAAAAGAAAAAATAGACAAATCTACATCATGGCATACAATTTTAATAAACTGCTCATTAATTAACAGAAGCAAAAAAAAATCAGAAAGGGTTAAGAAAATTTGAACAATGCAACCAACTCGATCTAACTCATATACACATACATACATGGAGAGAGAACACTTCACCCAACAAAGGCAATTTTTTCAAGTGCACACAAAATTGCCAAAACTGACTGCATATTGGGCCCAAAGACTGAAATCCTACAGAGAAAATTCCTTGACACAATGTTAAAACAAAAATCAGTAAGAAAGATAACTTTAAAATCCCATTTACTTAAGCAAAAATCTCAAAATAATCCATGAGTCAAAAAGACGACACGGAAATTTCAAAATGTTCTGAACTGAATACACATGGGATGCAGTCAAAGTCATATCTAAAGGAAAAAAAATTACATATATGTGTGTGTATGTATATGTTTATATACATACACACACACACACACACACACACGAGAAAGGCTGAAAATCAGTAATCTAACTATCCATCTGAAGAATGAGAAAAAGAATAAGAAATAAGCCCCTCTCCAAATAAAAATAAGTAGAAGAAAATAAGATAGAAAAGAAAATAATGAAATAGAAACAAACATAAAATAGAATCAACAATGAACCAAAAGTGGGTTCTTTGAAAAGTATAATAAAATTGAAAATCTCTTGGAAAGACTGATCCAGAAAATGAGAAAAGGCACAAAATACTAACATAAGAAATGAAAACATAGGGCATCACTACTTATCCTCCAAGCATTAAAAAGACGATAAGAAAATATTATGAACAATTTTTTTGTCAAAAGATTTGAAAGCATGAAGTTGACAAATTCCCACAAAAATGCTAAGTGCCAAAATGACACAATCAATCTGACTAGTACTATAATTATTAAGATATTAAATCTGTAATTAAAAATCCTTCCCTTAAAAAGAAAACTACATGCCCAGATGAATTCTGCAAAACAAAGAAAAAATTATCAATCTTAAACTCTTACACAAGACCAAAAAAAAGATGAACACTTCCCAAGTTTTTAATGAGTCCAGCACAGCCTTGACACCAAAAGGTGGCAAAAGCATTTTAAGAAAGAAAAATTTTGGGCCAATGCAATTCATAAACATATGTGGAAAGAAAATAAAATAGCAAATAGAATCCAGTGATATAATAAAGGATATATTCATCAAAACCAAACTGAGATTACTCCAGAAACACAATAATGGTTTAATGTTTTTATAAATGTAATTCACCATCAGTAGAGTTGTATAGCAGAAGCATGTTGGGCCCATAGAAATGTAATTTACCACATTATTAAAAAAATGGGGGAAAAAATCATATCCTCAACTTTAAGATAAAACATTTGATAAAATTAAGTACCTAGTCACGATAAAAATTCTTAGAAAAAATGAGAACAGAAAGAAACTTCCTGCTTTAGCCCATTTTGTGTTGCAATGAAGGAATACCTGAGACTGGGTAATTTATAAAGAAAAAAGGTTTATTTAGCTCACAATTCTGATACCTGAAAAAGTTTAGGTCTGGGTATCTGAAGAGAGCCTTAGGACACTTTTGGCATGGCAGAAGGCAAAGGACAGCTGGGTTGTACAGAGATCACATGGCAATGGGAAGCAACAAAGCTAGAGAGGAGGTGCCAGACTCTTTTTAACAAACAACTCTTGCAGGAATTAATAAGAGTGAGAACTCACTCTTCTCCCTCTACCACCCCAGGGAGGGCATTACTCTATTCATGAGGGGATCTGCCCTGCAACACAAACACCTTCCAACAGACCCCACCTCCAACCCTGAGGATCAAATTTCAACATGAGGCTTGGCAGAATCAAACATCCAACTATATTACCTCCCTAAGCTGAGAAAAAGGCTTCTTCTGCCAGGCACAGTGGCTCACACCTATAATCCCAACACTTTGGGAGGCTGAGGAGGGTAGATTGCTTGAGGTCAGGAGTTCAAGACAAGCCTGCCCAACATGGTGAAATGCCATCTCTACTAAAAATACAAAAATTTGCCAGGCGTGGTAGCGGGCGCCTGTAATCCCAGCTACTCAGGAGACTGAGGCAAGAGAATAACTTGAACCTGGAGGCAGAAGATGCAGTGAGCTGGGATCATGCCATTGCACTCCAGCCTGGGCAACAGAACAAGACTCGGTCTCAAAATAAAATTAAAAAAAAAAAAATTAAATTTTTAAAAGGCTGTTTTCTTTCTTTATTTTTTTTGAGACAGAGTCTCGCTCTGTTGCTCAGGCTGGAGTGCAGTGGCACAATCTCCACTCACTGCAACCTCCACCTCCTGGGTTCAAGTGATTATCCTGCCTCAGCCTCCCAAGCAGCTGGGATTACAGGTGTGCACCACCACACCAGGCTAATTTTTGTATTTTTAATAGAGACAGGATTTTGCCATGTTGGCCAGGCTGGTCTTGAACTCCTGACCTCCAGTGATACGCCAGCCTTGGTCTCCCAAAGTGCTGGGATTACAGGCGTGAGGCACAGCACCCGGCCTGGCATCTTCTATTTTTTTTAAATGCTACAAAAAAATTATACTTAATTTTGAAATGCTGAACACTTTTACCTCTGAGATTACACATGTAACAATGCTTGTAGTCACCACTTTAATATCACACTGGATGTCCTAGCCAGTGCAATAAGGTAAAGGAAAAGAAAAACAATACAATCATTGAAGAGAAACAGGCCTTCATCATAGATGGCATGCTTATATAGATGGAAAATTCAAAAGATTCCACAAAGTATTAGAAATAAGTGAAATTAAGCAAGGTCTCTTTACATAAGGTCACAGTACCAAAATGGATTGCATTTTACATGCCACAAACAATGAGAAAACATTTTATAAATATTATTTATAATAACATCAAAAAGCCAAATAACTTGAAATAAATCTATAATTAAAATTAGATTAAGTTTAATCTAAAATTTACAGTTATATAAGATGTCTACACACAGAACAAACCAGAAGATTTTATTTAAGGAAAACCTCAATAAATAGATAAAACAGGCTCATGGATTGGAAGACTCAGCATTAGAAAGATGCCAAATCTAGCCCCACATTAATCCATATAAATTTAATGAACTGCCACTAAAAATCCTGCAGGCTTTTTATGAAAATTAATAAACTGCCACTAAAATTTATGTGGAAAGGAAAAAGGAACAAGACTAAGTACAATAAACCTGAATAGGCGAGCTTACTCCACCCAATATGAGGATCTATTATAAAGCTCTAATGAGACATTATGATACTTGTACAGAGATAGAAAAATGGACCACTGGAACAGAGTCCAAAAAACTCCAGGCATATATGGCTACTTGATTTATTATAAAGCCAGCATTGCACAGCAGAGAGTCTTTTCCATAAATGGTGATGGCTGACTAAATAGTAAATGGAGGAAAAAATATGAACCCTATCTTATATAATCACAAAAATAAATTTTAGATGTACTACAGTAAAGGCAAATAATAAAGATTCTAGCGGGAAAAAATTTCATGATGGTGTACTAGAGAAAGATTTCCTAAACAAAAACACAACAAATTAATTGTAAAGAAAAAGACTGGTTTTGACTACACAGACAGATATTCAGGAACTGCTTTTTATCAACAGAAACCATTCACAGAGTGAAATGGCCAGAGTAGAAGATATTTGCAATACATATAATTAACAAAGGGTTCATATTTAGCAAATATAAACAATTCCTAGGAACCCATAAAAAGATGAAAGACAACCTAACTGAATAAAAAGGAAAAAGAATGAACAGGCACTTCACAAAAGAGGATATTCAAATGGCCCATAATCTTAAATCTCAATCATTAAGGAATTACAAATTAAAATCACAATCACCACTACATGCTGACCAGAATGGTTAAAAGAAAAATACTGATATTACAAAGGACTAGTGAGAATGTAGAGCAATTGAAACTCTCAAACATTATTGGTGGGAGTATGAATTGTTATAAGCACTTTGGAAAATTATTCCAACAAAAATATGCATAATATGAACCAGCAATACCACCACCAAAAACAGGCACGATGATGTTCACAGCAGTACCATTCATAAAAGCCTCAAAGTGAAAATAACCCAAATGTCTGTCCAACATTAAAACTGATAAATTATGGAACAGTCATGGAACAAAATACCGTACAGTGGTAAAAAAAAAAAAAATACTGCTACATGCAACAACATGGATGAATCTCACAGTGTAAGCAAAGAAGTATTACAAAGTTCAAAAACAGGAAAAACTAATGTGTGGTGCTAGAAGTCAGAATGGTGGTTAAGAGAAAAGGATTTGTGACTGAGGAGTATGAGAGAAGGACTTCTGGAGCCTGGTAATGTTTTATTTTTTGACCAGGAAAATGGTTTCAGGAATATCCTCACATTTTAACAGTTCATCCAACCGCACATTTATGTATGTATTTTTCTGATGTATACGTCAATTTTAAAAGTTTTAATATTTCATGAGTCTCTCTCAAGTTTCATTCAAACCACCTCATACCTCACATCCTCAAATGCTGCATTTAACTGGCACTTTGACTTTAATCAAGCCTAAAATCTCACAGCTTACACAGCCAAAACAAAAATCATCATCCCTGTATTACAGGCTGAATTGTGTGTTGAAGCCCTCACCTCTAGTGTCTGTGAATGTGAACTTATTTGGAAATAGAGTGTCCACAGATGTATTTAAGATGTAAATTCAGATGTGGTCATACCTGAGTGGGGTAGCCCTTAATCCGATATGACTTTTGTCCTATTGAGACATACAGGGAAAACGTCATGTGACAACAGATCAGAGATTGTAATAATGCAGCAGTAGGCCAAGAAACACTAAAGAGACACAGCCACAACCAGAAACTAGGCAGAAAAAGGCAAGGAAGGATTCTATCCAGAGTTTCAAAGGGAACATGGCCTTGCTTACACCTTGATTTCAGACTTCCAGGCTCCAGAACTGTGAGAGAATAAATTTATGCTGTTTTAAGCCATCCAGTTTGTGGCATTTTGTTATGGCAGCCCACCCTTCCAGGTATGCAACATCTAATTCCTACATCAATCTTCCATTCAATAACTTTTACAATATTTTCCCATCTGTCTGAAAACTCCACTAATTTTCCTCCATTTCTTATATCCTAGAATTATTAAGAGGTATTATTTTACCATTTAATTATCTCGTTTCTAAACCTTTCCCTTCCATTTCTACCATTACAACCCTACTTTAGGCCTCAATAATATCTTTATTTCTTAAATCCTACCTTCCTTACATCACCCTTGTTCTCAAACTTTCAGACACCCTATCACATCACATTTAAAAAGCACTCAGTCTGACTCTATTCTACTTCTTTCCATACATAAACACAAGTGGTTCCCAGAACACATTTTGTTCTTTATCGGCTAGTCTTTCACAGTACCTAGAATAGTCTCTAGTAGACCTAGTGCTCAATTAAATACTAACATCCACACAACATAAACTTACTACTGCCTCCACACCATCTTTCACGTTTCACAAGTCCATGTTATGCCAATTCATGCCTTCAATACTGAATCATTTCATTCATTCTTAGTTGATGTCTTATTCCATTTTTCACCACAGGTTCTATCCTAAGTCCCAACATCACTCCACACTCATTCTAAAAGTTTATCACTTATATCGCTAAAGAACAAGACCTTTTTGTAACTTCCCTCTCTCACACCTGGAAGTGTCTCAACATCTTCACCTATCATTTTCTTTTCCCTATTTAGTAGAAAGAAGTGTCTTCCATTTCTAATACTAGCATCTCTCATCTGTGTTTTTAATGTTTCCACTTATCTCTTTTCCTGGACCTTGCCGTATCAATGAGCTTCTCCTGCTTCTCTCCCAAAGACACAGAAGTCTCATCATATAAATTAAATTTTTTAAAAAAAGTTTTTCAACTTTCTATAGTGGACACTTGTGGACAATATATTTTCTTGGGCTATGGCAACAACAACATCCAGTTTCTATGAGCAGCAAAGCCAGTATCAGAGACAAGGCTATATCATCCAGCGTCCAGGAGACAGCAGGTAATGACCTTAACAAACTGCCCCTCAATATAGTATCTTAGCTATGGTTCTGGATATAGTTCTAGTTGCCTACCTTCTTTCAGTTCTTGTTTTCCATGCCTGAAGCATCCAATATCTTTCAAAAAACTGTCTTTTAACCACGGGGTCAAGTTTCTGATGTTTGTGAATAAAACCTTGACTGATGTCTCGGCTTGGGCTGCTTTAACAAAATACCATAGACTAGCTGGCTTACACTCTTTGTTACAGCTCTGGAGCATGAAAGTCTGAGACAAGGGTGCCAGCATTATCAGGTTCCTGGTGACAGCCCTCTTCCTGGCATGCAGATGCCTGCTTTTCTGCTACATCCTTGCATGATGGAGAGAAACAGCTCTAGTGTCTTCCTCTTCTTATAAGGACACTAATCACATCATGAGGCTCTACCCTCCTGACCTCATCTAAACCTAATTACTTCCCAAAGGCCCTATGCCCCCTAACACCATCACATTGAGGGTTGCGAGCTCAACATATGGATTTGGGGGAGAAGGGGAACACAAACTTTCAGTCCATAACAACTGACATAGTCTTGTTCCCTCACAAATTACTCTTTTTTCTCTTTCCTTTCTTTCCCAAGAGTTGTCCCTACTCTCCTTCACTATCCCATGATTTCTTAATCCTTGAAGACAGGGGTCTCCAACCCCCGTACGAGTCTGTGGCCTGTCAGGAACTGGACCGCACAGCAGAAAGTGAGTGGTGGGCAAGCAAGTGAAGCTTCATCTGTATTCACCAGCCACTCCCCATCTCTCATCCGTATTTACAACTGCTCCCCATCGCTTGTATTACCACCTGAGCTCTGCCTGCTATCAGATCAGCAGCAGTATTAGATTCTCACAGGAGCACGAACCCTACTGAGAACTGCACATGTGGGGGATCTATGTTGTGCACTCCTTACAAGAATCTAATGCCTGATGATCTGTCACTATCTCCCATCACCCCCAGACGGGACTGTCTAGTTGCAGGAAAACAAGCTCTGGGCTCCCACTGATTCTACGTTATGGTGAATTGTATAATTATTTCATTATATATTACAATCTAATAACAATAGAAATAAACTACACAATAAATGCAATGCACTTCAATCATCCCAAAACCATTCACTGCCCCTAACCCCAGGCCATGGGAAAACTGTCTTCCACAAAACCAGTCCCTGGTGCCAAAAAAGTTGGAGACCTCTGCTTTAAGATGTGACATTTTTCTCCTAACCACTTTTACTAAAATTACTAAGAGTCACGAATGCCCTTACCTCTACTAAATGTATTCATTTATTTATCAACTAAGATTTTTCCTTGAACATTTTTCTTCTCTCTCCCTCCGATAGCTTATCCAATCAAAATACCTCAATCTAAAAAAAAATTCTGGCCCCATCCACTATTCCCTTCCCTCTCTCCACTTTTTTCTTCTCACTCTCTCTCTTCTGCCTGTGTTCCCTTTTCTCTCTGAAACAGCTCATTCAATGCAAATACCTCAATCCTGATAATTCCCAGTTTCACAACCTACCTCCTACCCCTCGTACCTCACCCTTCTAACCCCAACTCTCACAAATTTCCAGCTACAGCTCAAAAGTACACCACAAATGCATGTGAAACCTTACTGGATTGATTAATCAATCCTCTCATCATCCTTTCCTAGTTATTCCAAGTTGGTTCATATCTAACTCCTCCTTCCTTACCCACAATGATATCCAAACACCATATCATCTACTTCTCAGATCCAAGCCTCCCTTCAAATCCCTTTGCAAAACTGTCATTTATCTCTGTAATCCTCTTTCCATGGAATATCACAATGGTTGTCACCTTCACTTGTCTGTCATAGCTCCAATATATTTTTTACATTTCTGCCAGAGCTATACAATCTATCAAGTCATGGATGGACTCCACAGTTGCCTGCCTTCAAAAGCTCCTCAGTGGCTACCACAGTCTAATCGCCTCAGCAAAGTATTTAAAAATCCACGACTTCCCTCCATAAAGTTCATGCTTGAGTCACATGAGAACACTAATTCCTTCTAGAGTCCTCATCTCAGTGGTCTTTAAGTTGGAACACCCTCTTTTTCACTGACTTTCCCTCACAAACAGAAATCTAAGCTATTCCTTCAAGATTCAGCTAGAAAATTAGCTCCTCTAAGTCTTCTTCCACCCCTAGTTAAATTGGTCCTCTTTCTATAATCCGACAATACTTTGTTAAATTTCTCACATAAGACAAGTCATTTTTGTTCACTGTATTGTTTGTTGTATTTACATAGCACTTTATTGCAATTTAATTTCATAGCAATTCTGTGAAGAAAGTATTATTTAGCCAATTTAACAGGGGAGGAAACAGGGAGAGAAGTAACTGGGTTAATACACACACACACATACACAGAGAAAGACATCTTTCATTCCAATCTCCTGACAATTAAGTTTTACATTTCTTAAGGGCAAAGACTCCAAGGAGCCTAGAAGAGTCCTTTCTACATAACAGATGCTTTGTAGGGTTGTGGTTTTTCTTGTTGTTTTGTTTTGTCTTTTGTTTTTATGGTGAAACAGAGTCTTGCCCTGTTGTCCAGGATGGAATGCAGAGGCAAAATCTTAGCTCACTACAGCCTCAGCCTTCCGGGCTCAAGCAATCCTCCCACCTTACCCTCCTGAGTAGTTGCTACTACAGGTGGACTCCACCATGCCTGGCTTATTTATTTATTTATTTATTGGCAGAGACGAGGTCTCACTATGTTGCCCAGGCTGGTCTCAAAGAATTGGGCTCAAACAATCCTCCTGCCTTAGCCTCTCAGGGATTACAGACGTGAGCCACTGCACCCAGCCTGCTTTGTGTTTTAAATATGTTTAAAACCACCCTGTTTTATCTGTCTAAACTCTTGAAGACATAGCTCAAAAGTCTCATTTTTAACTCTTCCAGCCCTTACTAATATTTCTGTAAACTATATCATATCACTTGGCATGTTGTTACAAATGTCATTTGATATATAAGCATGCCATTAATCGTATTAATGAGTTCATAAGCTTTAGAGGGCCAACATGCCTCATTCCACCGTGGTATCCTTTATACTCCCTAGCACATGGTTGTTGCTCAATAGTCCCCAATTTATCCCTTGTTCAAATCTCTAAGTCCTTTTTTTTTTTTTTTGCATGACATATATAGATTAACTGTGACTAAACTTTACTTCTGTAACAGTAAATATTACTTAACCCATTCCTGAAATATAAAGCTCATACACAGGTCAGGGAAAAAGTATTCTAAGTATCTGAATGGAGAAAAATCTAGAGTGACTATTTTAGATGACTGTAGAGGGCAGCAAAGCAACAGTAGTATCCTCAAAGAAAAACATGTATTTTTCTTAGGGAACTTCAAATTTGTTTTATATTTCAAGAGATGCTGTCAGGATTAAAGCTTTTGAAGGAAAAGGGGCTTTGGGGCATGCCAAATACAAATTTCACCAGCTACTTATATATTTAAACATTTTTACTATTAACTATAAATATAAAGAAAATATATCAATGCCCAGATCCTTTTACATGAAAAACAAGCTTGATAAACAATGCAGTTTCAAAATAGCCAACATAATTGCTGAGTACTTTAAGAATCCCGAAGTTGAAAATCTTTCCTCATTGAAAACGGCAAACATAATTTCTTAATTTTATTTTCTTAAATACAGAAAAGAATGTCAATAATCTAGATAGTCTTATTTCCTGCTAATTAGTATTACTAATTATAAACTTGATATGCCTTTTTGTTATTCAAAATCAGTCAACTGTAGGGTCTATACCAGTTTAAAAGAAAAAAATTATAAATCCTTTGGCACTGTACTAGTATACAACAATAAACAATGCAACACCTTGAAAAAGAACAGAAATTCCCTTACTGTTATTTCAATATTGAAGTTCACTCTGCTTTTAATATGAACTAGGCAGAAAAACTGCATCAAGATAATCATATAACCTCAGAAGTGTTTATAGGAATGGGGAAGCTACTATATAAGTTGACATTAAATACAACTGTATTATTTGCATGTTTCTCAAAGATTGTGTTGGCAGTAATTTTTTACTTCCTTTAAATTTAACAAGCAGAAATGCAGAGTTTTAGAGTGACTGCAGTAGCCATTAACATAAGCAGGCTTATGATTAAGTGAGAAATGCTGCTATCATGTTTTAGTCCTGTGCCCTTAAAGAGAAGTATAGAACTGTTAGCTATATGCCTTCTTCCACTTGATTCTCTTCCAAAAAATTAAAGGAATGGAGAAGGACTTTTTTATTTTGCATTTAAAATAAAGTAGGTATGGTATCTCTAAGCAGGTTTTAAAAACTAGGCAGTTTATTGTCAGGCTTAGTATTAAATTAAATGTATAGCCATGAATGATTATCTCTAAATCAAATTAGTAGGGAATCTGAGTCTATAATGAAAGGACATTTAAACATTTTTACTATTAACTACAAATATAATGAAAATATATCAATGCCCAGATCCTTTTACATGAAAAACAAGCTTGATAAACAATGCACAGTTTCAAAATAGCCACCATAATTGCTGAGTACTTTAAGAATCTAGCTACAACTAAATTAGAAATTTTATTAATAATCTTCAAAACTAGGGCCTAAGATTTTCAGTAATAGCAATCATGTCTATCATGAATAATTCACAGTTACTATATTAAACTGATTTTACTACAGTTTACCAATACTAGCATTTCATTAATATTTTTTTCTTCTGAATTGAAGCAACAGAAGAGTCAAGCACACTCCTGACATTATATATAATGTTCTCAGACACTTAGTTGGAGTCCTAGCCCTGCACAGTTTCACATTAGCATACTTCCATTACAAAATAGACTATCTTAAATTTACCCACTTCATTCATAAAACTCAGTTCCAGAGTCAGATGTGTCATACATGAAGTACGATACATCTCACAGAAGCAGCTTAAGCTAGACAGGTAAATAATATACAGCTGATTTTGAAATAACAAAGCAGAAGACTACTATTCTCATAGAAAGTCAATTCTGCAAACATCTCAAATTCAAAATGGGTGAGGCAATGGGAAATAGAACTGAAGAGAGGAAAAATAATTTTTTAAAAAGGAAAAATCAGTGGAGAACTATCTCAAGTAATATCTTTAAGTCTACCAACCTTTTCTAATCATCAAGAGTACAAATCTCTTTAAGAATATATTCCTATAGTGTATTCTGCATAACATAGCTTCTGCAACATAATATATATTACACCAAAGAATTTGTTTAGTTTGTTAAATGGGATATTTTACTGAAGAATTTCTTAGACCATTAATAAACTAATTCACATTGTTAACTTTCCATGAGGGGGTATATCATTAGCTTTTCCTATTCCCAAATGTATTAAAACATGGTACTTTTTCTTCCAAAAACCTACCTTCTGAGACTAGTGTTTCACAGAAACACTTTAACAAAGACTGTTTTAAGCCTGAAAGCATGAAAAAAATGAAAACAGAATTGCATGCTCACTGTATGCAAGAAGTGGTGAGGGAAGCCTTCCTGGAGAAAGTCAATCTTAAACCAAGCCCTTCAGAATTTGATTAGGTAGGAAGAGCAATGTCATTCTAGGCCTTATGGGTAAAGACCACAAAAGGGCATAACCCACTTTAGAGACAATTAAAGGTTCAGACTTGAACTATCCAAACTGGTAGCCACCAGGAACATCACACTTGAATACAAAGTGCATTAAATGTGGCTAGTCCAAATTGAAATGATCTATAAGTATAATATATCTACTGGATTTCAAAACATTACTATGAAAGAAAATGTAAAATATCTCAATTTTTAATAACAATTGCATGCTGAAATGATATTTTGGTTACATTGTGTTAAATAAAATAAGATTAATTTCACCTATTTCTTCTTCACTTTTTAAATGTGGCTTCAAGAAAACTTGAAATTACATGGCTTGCATTATAGTTCTATTAAAACGTGCTGGTTTGGACTAACCTTGATTTCGCCATCAAACTCTTGAAATAAATATGAGTGCCTACTACATGCCAAGCACATGGGAATACAAATAATGAACAAAACAGTGAAGCACATTTCTTTCAGAAGATTGATAATATTTGGTCAAATCATAAATGAAAATGCTATAATAAATAGCACTTGTCAAGAGAAAAAAGAATTATCTGATGTTGTCTTTCAAAATACAAATGTCCCAACCCTTGGACTCCACACCTCACCCGTCTTACAAAAATTGTTGATCTAGTAAGTCCATAGTGGGGCCCGGCCACATTGCTTCAAAAAAGATTCCCTAGTAACTATGATTTTAACTCACACATCCTATCTTTGCAGGCTCTAACTATTTGAGAATAGCTATTTACAGCCCCACTCCCTTTTTCTGTTCTTTTATTTCTTGTGATAAAACCTAGGCTGAAAGCCTAAAGGGCCTCTATTGGGTGCAACAGCCAACCTATTTAAGAACAAGTTTGATCTTTTTTTTTTTTTTTTTTTACCATTAAAGTTGAAACCAAAGTTTTTTACACATGGCTCACATTCCAGTTTATGAATATCTACTCACAATGCAACAGGTCTTCCCTACTCAACTTATTTAGCAGAATGAATGGTGGGCAGTCAATAGTCTTGCAAGAAAAACAATCTCCTGGATGCCATACTAAAGAAAACAAGTAAAATTCAAAATATAAATATATAATATCCTTTCTAAAATAACTATAATACCTGCGATATGGCTATATCTAGACTCATAGGAGGCAGACCTCATTAAAATTTGTAATTGATAAGTTACATTATAATTAGTAACTCTTTTAGAAAAAAACCTTGAAGCTACCCTTAATAAAGTTTCAGATTTTTTTTTTTTTTTTTGAGACGGAGTCTTGCTCCGTCACCCAGGCTGGAGTACAATGGTGCAGTCACAGTTCACTGCAGCCTCCTCCCCCTGGGGTTCAAGCAATTAGCCTGCCTCAGCCTTCCAAGCAGCTGGGATTACAGGCTCCTGCCACCATGCCCAGCTAATTTTTGTATTTTTGGTAAAGACGGGGTTTCGCCATATTGGCCAGGCTGGACTCAAACTCCTGACCCAAAGTGATCTGCCCTGAAGCTATCAGCCTCCCAAAGTGCTGGGATTACAGGCGTGAGCCACTGTGCCTGGCCTCACAACAGATTTTAAATAAATGATTAAACTATATCAGAGTTTATTCTAATACATAAAAAGCATAAATTTTATAAAATTCAGTAAAGAATACAGATTCAACAATTTAAAGACCATTTTAGACAAAAATATATGAAGTAATCAAACATATGACAGATTAATGGTGCTCAGATTTTTGGATCTGTGTGCATGGTACACAAAACTGTCTTTAAAGTTTCATTATTGACTTAACTGTTATTTGATTTTTAACCTACATTTACATATTAATAGTAATTATTAACTGTCTCATCTGCAAACCATGTAGTGCTTGTCAACTTTTATGAAGATTTTAATAGATTACAGAATATGTTATAGCAATGTATTATTTACTCACTAATTTTTAAGGGTTAAGTTACAGAATGTCAAAATGCTCTCTTTTAACAAGGATTTTCATAACCAGCTTCCCTTCAATAATTTTCAAGTAATTAACAATAACCCATAAGTTTTATCCCTTAACTATACACATATAAAACATACATCAGAATTGCCAAATTACTAAATTGTAAATAGATGAAAGTATAAGTGACATAAACAAGGTAAATATATATAATAAACACAATTGCCCAGCTTTTCCAATTATTATTTCTGATGTTGTAGATAACTGCAAGAAAGGAAGATTTGATCTTTCTGCTTGCTTCTAAATTTGGGTTACTTTCCAAAAATATCTGTTTAGGATGCAGAAAGACTCATGCAGGCAATATGTACTATAGACCCCAACTGATACCATCAGTAACTTAAAGCAGAAGCAAATTATGAGTCCCTTCTCCAACCCCTATCTTCAGTATGATCACTAACATTCTAAGTGACCTTATGGAACTGCCAAATCTTAAAATGCACTGGACATCATTAAGGGAATAGTCAACTAGTTTCCATACAATTATACAATTGAAGTATTTTGACTACATTCTAATATTCTGAATACTCATCTGTATATTTATATAAAGTAAATTTAACAAATATTTGAAGATCACTGGGCTAAGACTCAATATATAGATGTAAAGTACAAATACAGAAAGTCAATTTGAAAACTCAATTATTCAGCACATTGGTGTAGAATTTAAGAATCACTAATACCAGCCTGGTTAGTTTATGCTGCGCAATATAATAAATGCTAACATTTGAGTGTTACTATATTTCATGCACTCTTCTAATTGTTTTATTCTATTCTGTCATTTAATTCTCACAAGATCTCCATCAGCAAGGTAGTAATGTTATCTCTTTATAAAACAAGAGAAACTTCAAGTTTCCAAGGTTAAATAACCTGCCAATGATTTACAGCTAGAGAGAGAAAGAGAAAGAGAGGAAGGGAGGGAAGGACAGGGAAGGAAGAAGACATCTCAATAAGATCTGACCCAAATGATGTTTTAAAAATGACTGTTTTTTTCATTGCACATTCATAAGTCTTTACCTAATGGGTTAGGTGTCCCATTTCCGGGCAAATCAAAATACCTCACAAACACCAAACTGTTCTACAATCATGTTTCCTTTAGGTCGAACCCAAAGTTACAAGCATCTTGAAGCCAGGACTCTGTCTTATGCGTGTGTTATGTCCCCAAGTGCCTATCAAGTAGTCAAAGTGCTTTTAAAAGTTCCATATCATATCAGATCTTCTTTTCTGTGCTCTTTTAAACATTCATCTTAAG
The DNA here is from genome assembly GCF_000001405.40 of Homo sapiens. Classification (NCBI taxonomy): domain Eukaryota; kingdom Metazoa; phylum Chordata; class Mammalia; order Primates; family Hominidae; genus Homo; species Homo sapiens. The sequence goes on along the minus strand of NC_000003.12, from coordinate 111,075,007 downwards.
ATGAAGCCTTGCTGAAAATGGAAAGAGGCATAGAATCTCAGAGCCAAATGGGACCTTACAAAGGTCAGTCTATCTTGTTATTCATCATTACCATACCCATGATAATATTCTCTATGTCCCCTGAAAAAAAAACGGTGGGAAGTAAAAGTGAGATAAATCTAATCATCTATGAATTGATTATTGCCATCATAAAGAAACTTCGAATTTCATAATTAAATGACGTTTATCAAGTCAGATGATGACGTAAGCCCAGTCCCCTTGACACTTATACCTAGGAATCTCTTAGGCTTAAAAACAAAAAAAAAATCTGGCAATTTGACAACCTGTAAAACTCTCATTTTAAAAGTTCAGTTCTCCAAATAAGATAATGCACACCCCCAAAACAAACGGCCAGCAAGTCTGATATAAACATTTTTATAGCCTTCAGAATATCAGGTCCACCAGTTTTGATGGATATTTTTAACAGTTAAATTAACACGATAAAGTTAAGGCCACGCTATATATCAAACATATCAAAATATCAAAAATAGCAGCAAAAGGAAAAATCTATATGTCATAAAACAAGTAAAGCATTCTCATCAACAAATCATCAGCTACAGTCATATTTTTAAAGCTTAAAAATCTTTTCAACTCTAAAACTGGCTCCACGCAAATATTAATTACATGCCAAACCTTGTAAGCAGTACTATGAACATCATTATAACTCTATTAACTAAAACAGTAGTTAAATCAACAACTTGTTAGACTAACAGCTTACTTGAAGAAAATTTTGCTTCCATACCACTAAGCTTCCATAAGTCACAACATCTGTGCCCTATTCAAAGACTTAATTCCAAAATAAAGGTTGATGGAAAAAACTCGTCATAAAGGTTCACAAATTAGGGTGTTATAACACTATAAGCCAAAAAAGGAAGCTGTTTAAATGAGTAGCACACAGGAATACAAAACCAGTGTCTACCTCTACAACAAGAAGAGTTGACTCTAAACACTACACCTGCTCTAAAACACAGTCCATTTGCCTACACTGCTTAAGTTTTTAAGCTCTGAATTAAAAATCAAGTCCTTCCAATGCTACATTGAGATTTTTTAAAACTGTTTTCTTCTTCCATGTGAAAACCAATGTGTTCCTTCAAAAAGTAATCAACAATTCATTTTCACAACCACTAAGAAATTATCATGTAAATAATTCCTGCATCAGCTATGCATATTACCTGGCTTCAGTCTTCCACAGAGCTTTGCCTAACTAGATCTGCCTCTGTGGAGGTATAAATATTCTCTCAGTCCTTAACATAAACGAAGTCAGGATAGTAAACTGGTAAGGTCCCCTCCAACTGTCCTCTCACTCAACTGTAAGCAACATCCCCAATTCTCCTTCATGGAATAGAACAGCACACAAATTCAATCTAGACTCTGGCATCAATTTAAAAAGGTATAGCATTAAGAACTTTGTCTTGGAACCAAGTATCTGCGGAGTCGGCATACAGAAACAGCGTACAATTAATAACATTCCATTTACCATACTATACTCTGTGTAAATCAGATTTCATTACAGTGCTGGAAACGTGGTGGTAAACTGTCAGTGGAAATTCTCAGCCCAGAAGAGACACTCAATCCCATCATGCAAACTTTGCTTCCCTCATAACCAACTACCCTGACTCACCTACCATGTAACAGGATTCTCCTCCTTCTAAATCACACTATTCAAGAAATGTGCACACATCTCTCCTTTTAATAAATACTAGTAAAACTTCAGTTTACGGTTTTATGAAATACTGAAAACCAATCTTTGACCAAGCTTAAGTTCTGCCCCTCTACTTTTCTTACCAAGAGCCCTCAAATAAATAACTACTCGCAGTGTTCTGATACTCCTCCTCCCACCAAAGACTGGTGTCCTTATTTTCCCAAATCGCTGCCTCCCATTAATTACCACTTAAGTCCATTTCTCTTGCATGAGGCAGACTTTTTTTTTTTTTTTTTTTTTAGCACAGTCCTTAATAAGCAGGCTTCTAGTCTGGCATACCTGGGAAGAAAACTCAGAGACTAACTCCCAAATATGACAGGAAAACAGTAACATAACACGAGGGTCAAGAGATGGGAAACAGGCGCGTGACTGTTTTGGTTAGAACAGCCGGGGCACACAGTCCATGAAATCAGGTATTTAACACGTAAATCTTGTTCCTGCGGTTTGGTAAAATAAGCACGGGCAGTGTGAGAGACGTCCCACAAGCTGGAGGGCAGGGACGAGGGTCAATCTAGAGAGCTCCAGAAGCTGTCAGGGCAGAGCCGGGGGAGTGGGCACAAGACAGAAGAAAACTAGCTGTAGGGGATTCTGCGGCTGGGTGGGCTAAAATGGTGCCTTCTCCAGGGTGGAAGGCCATGAGAAGTGGACCCGGAGGCTTCATTCCATCGGGCTCCGGTCCCTAGGGTTTCTGGGCTCACAGCTCAAGTTTCACCGGGAAAAAAAGCGGCAAACGTGCATCCCGGCACCTTAACCTACGAGGGTTCCCAGAGAATGAGCGAGGAAGTAACGGTCCCCGGAGCAAACCCGGAGTTCGGCGCACGAAGCACCATCGCCAACCCTCGGCCATCCGCACGGCGACCCGCGCGGCCGCGGGGGAGGGCAGCGGGCCGCCGGCTCAGCATTCGCTGGCCTGGCCCTTCCAGGGCCTCGCCCCGGGCGCGGCGAAAAGTTTCCAGCCAAAGTCCTCGGCACTCGCTCGCACAACCAACCGCCTCGCTGCTCCAGAGAACGGCTGGCAGAGCCGGCCGCGGCGCCCGCACCCTCAGTGGCGGCTCCCTCAGCCCACGCCGGCCGCCGAGGTTCACCTACCACAGAGCCTGGAGAAGAGCAGCAGCGGGAAGAGCAGCAGCAGCAGCGGAGGTGGCGTCGGGGGCTGCAGCAGGAGCCCGGCTCCGAGGAGAGAAGCGGAGGAAAGTTGTGCTTTGCCGCCTCCAGGACACAGCGGGGACGGCCGCAGGGTCCGCGCCATCCCCCACCCTCCCCCCGGCCCGCTCGCCCGCCCGCCCCCCGGCTCCCCCGGCCCCGGCGCCTCAGGCTCTGGGCGGAGGCTGTGGAAGGTCCGGCGCGCGCGTCCCCAGCTCCCAGCTCTAGCGCCGTCGCTGCCGGCTGACACTTGGCCGAACGCTGGCGGCTGCCTCGACACCGCCGTCGCCGACGCCACTGCCGAGGCTGAAGCGGGAGCCGCCCGCCGCCGCCGCCACTCCCCTCCCCTCGGCACCCGCCCGCGTCGAACTCCTGGGAACTCGGAACGCACCACCCCGCCCCACGCAAGAGGGGGAAAAGAAACCGACTCTCAGAGCGGGCGCCCGACTCGCCCGCCCTCCCCGCGCAACTCCACCTCCCGTCTGATCCCCGGGCGCAAGCCCTGTCTCCTCCCACCCCGCCCTCCTACACATGCTCCTCCCCTTTCAAAAAAAAATATTCTTTTCATCCACTTTGATAACGGGGTTTCTCCCACAGCAGAGATTTAAAAGGGACAGGAAAATCTGGAATAGGTTAGTCGGCCCCGCCCCTCGTTCCTGCCTGGTTTCCCCCCTTCCCTGCCTTTCCAATGGTCTCGCCCACTCCACCCCTCGCGGGTCCACGGGGGCCCCGGCGCCGACTGAGGCGAGGGCTGCGGGACAATCACGCTCGGCCTTCTCCTCTCCCGGGCGGCGCTCTCCCTGTGGCGGGGACCTGGGACGAGGGGGTGGGGTGGGGAGGGGAAGGCAGGAGGGGGCTGCCCTTCCGTTGCCCATGCTAAAGGTTCCTGTGTAGGAAGCTGGACGCAGCCTGCTGGACTAGTAATCTTCCTCCTCGCTGGGGCGCGGGGCACTGAAGGGAGGGAGAGACTTTCTCCTCCTTCCTGTTCCCCGGGACAGCTGTGCTCTCCGAATCCTTCCCTTCTTCCCAGCCCACTTATTCCCCGCTCGCCAAGGCACGTTTGCACAGGCATTTTTCCTGCTCTTTTTTCTGGGAGGGCAGCTTGGTAGAATGGTCGGCGGAGCTGGGCGAGGAGAGGGGTCTTCAGAAGGTTTGCTTTCTTGCTCTTGCTTCTCACTGGCCGCTGGGCTGTCCACTTTCCGCGCCGGGCGACTGGCAACAGGAGGCCATGGATTTCCCCCAACGAGTGCGTTGGTGTTTTTCTTTGGTTTTGTTTCCTTTGCATGTTCGTATGTGTAGTTTTATTTTCTTGCCTGTTTTCGTTTGATGGCAGAGAGGCGACCTCGGGAAGTATTAAACATTTGCCCGTATAAGAAGAGCGTCTGTGGTCCACCATGACCCTCGCTCATCCCAGGTGGCTCTCCGCCCTGCCCTCTCCATCCTCCCGCCTCGCACAGTACCGGCAGCTTGACCTTGGAGCCACTGCCACATTGGTTCCGCGGGGGGAGTAGGAGGGTGGACAATTTGGACTGTCCAGCGTAGGGGGTGAATTGAAGGCAGAGGACACCAGTCCTCAGGCCTGACACTATTAATTTTATGTAGGTCCTGTCATCTCCACGAGATAGCCATAAATGTGTTCCAGTAACAGGAAAGCTGAACAAGGATCAGCCGCCCAGAAGTTAGCCTGTCGCAGCTAAACTAATGCATGCTTGCGGCCAAGACCACGCTGTCCTCGGCTTTCAGTCAATAGGGTCTTCCCACCTTCCGCCCGCTGGATTACAAGGCTTTACTAACCTCCAAGGCTACAAGCCATTCTACACCCTGCCCACCTCTTTTTTCTTTCTTAACTTCTGCCTCCCTTCCAGTCTCCCAGCGCTCGGTCTAGTGCCTTTTTCCCTCCAGCCCTTTCCTCTTCCCTCCCTCCCTGTGCCTGTCTGCCTCTGTCGTCCCCTGTAAGCTTGTCTCCTGCAGCCAAGGCTTTCTATCACCTATTCTCAAGATGCACTTATGAATAAACCTTGTCCTGCATCGCTCCGGGAGATCCCCTGATGATGATCATAATTGACAAAATGTAGCTATTGTGACATTCCTCAGCTGTGCTGACACCACCGTTTCCCTTGAGAAAATTTCTTTTTCTATATTCGCATTCCCTAAACCTAATTTCACTGCTAAATTTAGACAGCTCACTGCGCAGCCACTAGCTAATTATCTGTTTAGATAGCACTTTAACACGTTGTTGAGACTCAGTTAAATGTTAAACAACCAAAATTTTAATATCACTAGCCAATTTCATTCTTCCAGGTTTTCCCTGATGGCTCCACATCTCCAAGAAAAGTAATTTAGCCAACATTTCAAAAAATACCAAAGGCTTAACTTGGGTAGGGGCCATCGGGCAATTGCTACAGAGACCATAAGGAATTAGCAGGTTAAGTTCGTCTCAAAAAGATGACATGGAGCTTTAACAAATATATTTCCTCCATACTTACAGAAATTGAATAGTGGTCTGCTATGATATTCTCTGACCTAAAGTGAAGAGAGAGCATGGAAGAGCATTATTTATAGATGTTATATAAGCATTAAAAGAGCACCATGCTGGTGTTTTATGTGCATATATGTATTATATTCTAATAATAATAATTTGTGTTTATACAGCATCTTCAACTAAAGATGTCAAAGCACAAGCTCACTTCCCACGGAAGGTAGCAATTACTATTATCTACTTGACAGCTACAAGAACCTAGGCACAGAGGTTAAGTGCTCTGCAAATACTACCAGCCAGTGGTGGTTTTCCTGCCAGAACCAAGTTCTTGCCTTCCAGTGGACACCATTGATCTCTCAAGATGATTCTTTAAGTTAAAAAGTAAGATAACTCAAATTTCTACTTTCTATAATAAAAGTGCCCAATCTTAAATTACATTCTCCTCAGATGAGTGAATTTTAGACATACTCACCCCAAGCTTTCCTGTTGGAAATTTTTACTGGCCACAGAAAAAGATTTTACATTACATATACAACTCATGTTTTTCAAGGGCAGAAATACTATTAATTTTTTTAAAACCTTTAGCATGAGAGTATTAGTGCGTTCTATGCCATTTTTAGTCTTCTAACTTTATACATAAGTTCACATTTATTGTTTGAATAACAAACTGTTTAAGGAATACTTAATTATAGCTAACTTATTAATATTTCTGACACCATTGAATAACAAAGTATACATGCATTTTTTCAGAAAAAAATTATCTGAACAGAAAGCAATGTAATCCTAATGCCAACAATAGTTTCATTGTTTTGGGTTAAGAGTACTGATGGTGTCCATCCTACTTTCGGCTCAAAGATTGTTTGCCAATTATCAAGGTTCATTAACTCTTAACTAAAAAACAAAGGTTGACATCTTAACAAAGAAGTAATTATGTACAGTGCTGGGCATTTTACATTTACTCAAATAATCCAAGTGAAAAGTTTGAGACTATTATTAGAATTTCATAGCTGACTCTGAAACAAAGGAGGTATTTTACAGGAGAGGTAAGACATTATATACTTCAGCTAATTCTTCTTAACATCAGCAAATTCTATAACCTGCTGTGTGAGGACGCATAGCTTTTCCTTTAGTAAAAGAGATGAATGATATTTTGTAGAATATTTGAACTTTGTACTATATTTGATAATAAGCTTATGTTATCCAGTTAGGATCACAGTTTTTGTAAAGAGAATTATGCAAATAATAAAAAACAAACTGCAAAATCGCAGAAAAGTCCATCCACTTGCAAAACGTTCACCAACCTTACTCTTATTAAATGCAAGTCTTTCTTACTGAACAGATCTTCCCTGTATGCTCATATGACTTTCTCCCTCCTATTTCCTTTGAATCTTTGATAAAATTTAACTTTATCATTGAGGCTCTCCAGGACCACATCATATGAAAGAGCTTCCCCCACCCTAATCCCTATGCCCTTAACTTGCTTTATTTTCTCCATTGCCCTTACCATCTGACATGTCTCTAATTTACTGTCTGTTCCCTTTCACTAGAATGAACAGTCCACAAGGGCAAGCAAGTATCTATATTTTCACTGTTAAAACTCAAGTAGGCCAGGCACAGTGCCTCCTGCCTGAAATCCCACCACTTTGGGAGGCCAAGGCTGGCAGATTGCTTGGGTCCAGGAGTTCAAGACGAGCCTGGCAACATGGCTGTGTTAGTCTGTTCTCATGCTGCTAATAACGACATACTTGAGATTGTGTAATTTATAAAGGAAAGAGGTTTAATTGACTCACAGTTCCACATGGCTTGGGAGGCCTTAATCATGGAAGAAGGCAAGGAGGAGCAAAGTGGTGGCAGGCAAGAGAACATGTCCAGGAAAACTCCCCTTTATAAAACCATCAGATCTCATGAGACTTATTCACTATCAGGAGAACAGCACAGGAAAGACCTGCCCCCATGATTCGATCACCTTCCACTAGGTCCCTTCCACAACACGTGGGAATTGTGGGAGCTACAATTAAAGATGAGATTTGGGTGGGTACACAGCCAAACCATATCAATAGCAAAACCTCCTTTCTCCTATAAATACAAAAAAAAAAAAATTAGCCGGGTGTAGTGATGTGCTCTTGTAGTCCCAGCTACTTTGAAGGCTGAGGTACGAGAATCAGCTGAGCCCAGGAGGTCGAGGCTGCAGTGAGCCAAGATTGCATCCCTGTACTCTAGCCTAGGCAGCTGGAGAAAGACCCTGTCCCCCAAAAAAAACCAAAACCAGAACAAAACAAAACAAAAACCCCAAGTACCTAGAATAATGTCTGCCATATAGATTCCAAACTGGATGATTAAATGATTATTATGACATAGCATACTCAAGTGCATGTCTCATTCAGTAGAGGTTTATACTTCTTTAAGGTCTTGAACAATAGGATTGATCATGTATAGTTTTTTTAAGCTGGAAGGTGGTTACTCTGACCATTGCTTAACACTCTTGATATAATTGTTATTAGTGCTGTTTATTAAACTATTATCTCTCCACTCTGTATTCATAGTTCTGCCCTGGTTTTGTAAGGCTGGTGCTAGGACTCTGCAAACTGTGTATCTCCTTTACCGACTGGCTTCCTGACGGGTTCTATCAATAGAGGTCACTGGAGGAAATGTGGACCCCTGGAGTAAGAGAAAAGGGACTTGTTCCTTTCCATTTGCTTCTTGCTATCAGCATCACCTCAGTGGTAATAACCTGTCATCCTGTCTTTAGCAGCTGATTCCAGCCTCCCACTTCTTTTACACTCTAAGTCCCAGAGTCCTCATGACTCCTCAAAAGTACCAGCACCAACTAGGCTGTTTCTACTTCTCAGAGGTCCAAGCCCCAGCTAAGGAGGATGGCTCCTCTAAACTTCTGAGTTCTAATAACACAAACCTTCCCCTTTGTCCTTCTAGTTCTAAGGGTAGTAACAGCTTCCCACAGCTTATATCTCTAGGTCACCACAGTGCTTCCCTTTTTGATCTAGAGAACCATCCCCCCATCCCTGTGTAACATTTTCATAATATTCCCTTGGTTACATAGTATAGTTTCTGTATTCCTGATTGGACCTCAACTTATTTTTCAGTGACTATTTCCCAAAATCTTCTCTTGTAACAGTTACTTTTTTCTAAGATGAGCTTCTTAAAATCACAGAGCCAACATAACTCCATCAATTAATGTAAATAAAAACAAGGCAAATGAACAAAATTTATTCTTTCATTGGCAGTAATCCAGGTTAGCAGAGATGGGTTGGAAATAAGTAAATTTGGAGGTAATTATGTTGTCATTTCAGCAATATATACATATGCTATGTATTTTTGTTGTTGCTCCTCATCCAGGTCATGGTAAAACAAACATAAATTTCTCATTTTTAGATGGTTTAGGTGATTTTTTTATGAACTTAGCACTTGAGAATTATGAAATTAAAAACGAAAGGAATATACAATTTGATAGAAAAAAGAAGACCTTGTGTTTGATAGGTCACTAGGGTGACTATAGTTTACTATAATCTATTAGGTATTTCAAAATAGCTAGAAGAGAATAATTCAACTGTTTCTAGCAGAAAGAAAAAACAAATATTTAAAGTGATGGATATCCCAATTATACTGATTTTATCTTTACAAATTACATGAATGTGTTGTCACATGTACCCCCCCAAAATATGTACATCTATTATGTATCAGTACAAACAGATGAAATTTTAAAAATTATTTGAGAAAAGATTATTTGGACTTTTAAACTTACAATGAAAACAAACTTACGTTTTACATAACTATCTAAAGGTTAACTCTATTCATAGTATACAACTCCTGTAGAGGTGCTGGTGTTCCAAAAAATATAGTTCGAGAAACTGATATGCAGGCAGAAAGAAGAGCTATACTATATCATTATGGTAGGTAGGTTAAATAATAGGGTAGGTAGCTTTAATAAAGATGATTAAACTACTATATACTGGAGTCTGTGTTAGGTACTGGACATAGAAAACCCCAAGTCCTGACTCCAAATAGTAATAACAATATTCTTGCAAACATTGGAGGGATGTACAGTATGTGAGAGAGCAGAGGAGGACTCTCAGGTCTGCCTAAAAGAGACTGGGAATCCTTCACAGCACAGATAATATTTGAACAGTCTTAAAGAATGACTAGAAATTTTACATATGGATGGAGGAAAAGCAGCAGAGGGAATAGGAGAATGATAGATGGAAAGTTACAGAGGCATGACCAAGTACGATGTGTTCTGTAACCCACAAGCATGCCTGTGCTGCTAGAGAGTACCACACAAAGGGGAATTGGGAGATAAGGTAAAAATGAAGTTAGATGGGTAGGTAGGGATTGCTTGTACCTTGTAAGGGGCTTTGGATTTTTATCTGGTCGATCATAAGGACAAATGAATTTTGAGTAGGGGAATGACAAGATTAGATTTGCTGGAAAAGTCAGAGAAAAATGTGAAGACGGATATATTGTCGGGGGATTTGGGAGAATTATAAGTACGAGTTTAGTAAAAAAAAACTTGTTGTAAGGAGCAGAGTGAATGAAGGTCGGAACTTTCATTCATGGATGAAATAAAGTGGTAAAGCAGATGGAAAGGAGAAAATGAATTCAGGGGAATTTTAGTATTTTAAAATAAAATAGTTTATTTCCAGAGTGGGTTGAATATATGGTGTGGCTAGCTAGGAGGTAATAATCTAGACAACTGAGAGAAACAAAAAACAAAAGGCATGAGAGCAAAGTGATGAAAAAAAAGCACTCAAAGAAGGTAATGAAAATATGGGTAGAGGCAGAGAGATACTAGAAGACAGAACATAGAGAAGAAAATAGGGGTGGAAAAACCAAATGACAAAGGTTTACAATAATGCAATTGATGATTTTACAAATTATTGAGCAAAATTTTAGGGCAGATTTTATCATTTACTTCCGCTAAATATTGTTCCTTGGAGTCTCATGTCTGAGTTAACCAGCTTTATGTAATGTCCAGTGCAGTTTATTTTAACATTGTCAATAACCAAAAAATATTTGTTGAAGAGAGGAAGAGAGGGAAAAGAAAAGAGTAGATGGTTTTGCTGTTGTATTTAGATTGAACTGAACTAAAGAAGTCTGGTGTCTGTGTAGGTTCAGTACAGTAAAAAGCCACTTCTTCCCCCATGGGTATTTCAAAAGATCCTGCCCTAATTAATCACCTAAAGCATTGTTTCTAACTTGTACCCTTTCATATCTAACCCAAAGCGGATATTCATCAGACGCGCCATGCCCCCCAACCCAGAGAGACACACAGAAGGAGTATAATGTAATGGTAAAACCCCTGGATCCGCATTGCCTGGGTTTCAGTTCAAATCCTCATCTTGTAACCCTGGGCAAGTTACTATCTTACTTTCCTCATGTGAAAATAGGGAAAATGGTTATTTCTTCCTCACCATATTTCAGGAGAAAGTTAGTTCATATAATTAGTTTAAAAGGGGCCTAATATATAAAGCCCAAGAAATGTTAGGTGTGGTAGTAGTTTTATTATCAGTAATATTAATATTAGTATTTTATTATACTTCTGAAACAGGGTCTTGCTCTGTCACCCAGGCTGGAGTGCAGTGACACCATCATAGCTCACTGCAGCCTCGACTTCCCCAACTCAAATGATCCTCCCACTTCAGCTTCCCAAGTAGCTGGGACTAGCAGCATGTACCACCATACCTGCTGATTTTTAATTTTTGTAGAGATGGGGGGGGGGTCTCACTATGTTACCCAAGCTGTATTAGTATTTTAAACATACGTTTAGAAATTGCATATCAATCATAGCAGCCCGGGAGTGGAATTTTGATTAGGCTCATGTTGCCAACAATCCAATTGAAATCTCAAAACCAATTCTGATAAACTCTGACTTACATTAACCAGATTGTGTTAATTCAGCATCATTCTTTTTTGTTTACAAACCTCTGCAGTTTACCTCCTGAATAACACTCCCCAAGAGGTCTACATTTTAATCCCCCAAACCTGTGAACAATATATGGCAAAAGGGGATTAAGTTTGCAGATAGAATTAAGATTACCAATCAGCTGACCTTAAAAATAGGGAGATTATCCTGGATTATCCAGTTGGGCACAATGTAATCACAAGGGTCCTTAAAAGTCAGAGGAAGGTAGAAGACAAGAGTAAAAGAGATGTGACCACAGAAGAATGGTCAGTAAGACACAGGTTACTGGCTTTGAAGATAGAGGAAGGGAACAGTGAAGCAAGTAATATGGCAATATCTAGAAGATTGAAAAGGCAGGCTGGGCGCAGTGCCTCCTATCTGTAATCTTAGCATGTCGGAAGGTCAGAGTGGGAGTCCAGGAGTTTGAGACCAGCCTGGGCAACATAACAAGACCCCGTCTCTACAAAAAATTTTAAAAAGTAGGTGAACATGGTGGTGCACACCTGTGGTCCCAGCTACTCTGGAGGCTGAGGTAGAAAGATCACTTGAGCCTGGGAGTTTGAGGTTGCAGTGAGCTGAGATCTCGCCATTGCACCTCAGCCTGGACAACAGACGAAGACTCCATCTCAAAAAAAAAAAAAACTAGTAAAGACACATCTTCCCCTTAGAGCCTCCAGAAAGGAATACAACCCTGCCCATACCTTGATTTCGGCCAGTGATATCTGTGTTAGACTCCTAACCAACAGAACTATAAGATAATAAATTTGTGTTGTAAGCCATTGGATCTGTGGTAATGTTATAGCAGCAGTAGAAAACCAATCCATCCCCCAATCCCCTTACCTTAACTTCTTTGACCAACACTCAAGAACCTTAACATAAAACTCAGTTTATTTATTTTTATTATTACACTTTAAGTTTAATACACGTACAGAACGTGCACGTTGGTTACATAGGTTACATAGGTAACATGGTTACACGTGCCATGGTGGTTTGCTGCACCCATCAACCTGTCATCTACATTAGGTATTTCTCCTAATGCTATCCTTCCCCTGGCCCCCCATAACATGTCAGGCCCCAGTGTTTGATGTTCCCCTGCCTGTGCCCATATGTTCTCATTGTTCAGCTCCCACTTATGAGTGAGAACATGCAGTGTTCGGTTTTCTGTTCCTATGTTAGTTTGCTGAGAATGATGGTTTCCAGCTTCATCCATGTCCCTGCAGAGGACATGAACTCATTCTTTTTTATGGCTGCATAGTATTTTATGGTGTGTATGTGCTACAGTTTGTTTATCCAGTCTATCATTGATGGGCATTTGGCTTGGTTCCAAGTCTTTGCTATTGTGAATAGTGCTGCAATAAACATACATGTGCATGTGTCTTTGTAGTAGAATGATTTATAATTTTTGGGGCGTATACCCAGTAATGGGATTGCTGGGTCAAATGGTATTTCTAGTTCTAGATCCTTGAGGAATCACCACACTGTTTTCCACAACAGTTAAACAAATTTACACTCCCACCAAGAGTGTAAAAGTGGTCCTAGTTCTCCACATCCTCTCCAGCATCTGTTGTTTCCTGACATTTTAATGATCGCTATTCTAACAGGCATGAGATGGTATCTCATTGTGGTTTTGATGTTCATTTCTCTAATGACCAGTGATGATGAGCTTGTTTTCACATGTTTATTGGCTGCATAAATGTCTTCTTTTGAAAAGTGTCTGCTCATATCCTTCACCCACTTTTTGATGGGCTTCTTTGTTTTTCTTTTCAATTTGTTTACGTTCCTAGTAGATTCATGATATTAGCCCTTTGTCAGATGAATATATTGCAAAATTTTTCTCCCATTCTGTAGGTTGCCTGTTCAATCTGATGATGGTTTCTATTACTGTGCAGAAGCTGTTTAGTTTAATTAGATCCCATTTGTCAATTTTGGCTTTTGTTGCAATTGCTTTTGGTGTTTTATTCATGAAGTCTTTGCCCATGCCTGTGTCCTGAATGGTATTGCCTAAGTTTTCTTCGAGGATTTTTATGGTTTTAGGTCTTACATTTAAATCTTTAACCCATCGTGAGTTAATTTTTGTGTATGGTGTAAGGAAGGAGTCCAGTTTCAGTTTTCTGCATACGGCTAGCCAGTTTTCCCAACACCATTTATTAAATAGGGAATCCTTTCCCCATTGCTTGTTTTTGTCACGTTTGTCAAAGATCAGATGGTTGTAGATGTGTGGTGTTATTTCTGAGGCCTCTATTCTGTTCCATTGGCCTGTATATCTGTTTTGGTACCAGTACCATGCTCTTTTGGTTACTGTAGCCTTGTAGTGTAGTTTGAAGCCAGGTAGCATGATGACTCCAGCTTTGTTCTTTTTGCTTAAGATTGTCTTGGGTATATGGGCTCTTTTTGGATTTCGTATGAAATTTAAAGTAGTTTTTTCTAATTCTGTGAAGAAAGTCAATGGTAGCTTGATGGGAATAGCATTGAATGTATAAATTACTTTGGGCAGTATGGCCATTTTCATTATATTGATTCTTCCTACCCATGAGCATGGAATGTTTTCCCATTTGTTTGTGTCCTCTCTTACTTCCTTGAGCAGTGGTTTGTAGTTCTCCTAGAAGAGGTCCCTCATATCCCTTGTAAGTTGTATTCCTAGGTATTTTATTCTCTTTGTAGCAGTTGTTAATGGGAGTTCACTCATGATTTGGCTCTCTGTCTATTATTGCTGTATATGAATGCTTGTGATTTTTGCACGTTGATTTTGTATCCTGAGATTTTGCTGAAGTTGCTTATTAGCTTAAGGAGTTTTTGGGCTGAGATGATGAGGTTTTCTAAATATACAATCATGTCATCTGCAAACAGAGACAAATTGACTTCCTCTCTTCCTGTTTGAATACTCTTGATTTCTTTCTCTTGCCTGATTATCCTGGCCAGATCTTTCAATCTTTGTTGAATACAAGTGGTGAGAGAGGGCATCCTTGTCTTCTGCCGGTTTTCAAAGGGAATGCTTCCAGCTTTTGCCTATTCGGTATGATATTGGCTGTGAGTTTGTCATAAATAGTTCTTATTATTTTGAGGTACAGTCCATCATTACCTAGTTTATTGAGTGTTTTTAGCATGAAGAGTGTTGAATTTTATCCAAGGCCTTTTCTGCATCTATTGAGATAATCATGTGGTTTTTGTCATTGGTTCTATTTATGATGGATTCTGTATATTGATTTGCCTATGTTGAACCAGCCTTGCATCCCAGGGATGAAGCCAACTTGATTGTGGTGGATAAGCTTTATAATGTGCTGCTGGTTTCGGTTTGCCAGAATTTTATTGAGTATTATCACATAGATGTTCATCAGGGATAGTGGCCTGAAATTTTCTTTTTTGGTTGTGTCTCTGCCAGGTTTTGGTATCAGGATGATGCTGGCCTCATAAAATGAGTCAGGGAGGAGTCCCTCTTTTTCTTTTGTCTGGAATAGTTTCAGAAGGAAGTGTATCAGCTCTTCTTTGTACCTCTGGTATAATTCGGCTATGAATCCTTCTGGTCCTGGGCTTTTTTAGGTTGGGAGGCTATTAAGTACTGCCTCAATTTCAGAACTTGTTACTGGTCTATTCATGGATTTGACTTCTTCCTGATTTAGTCTTGGGAGGGTGTGTTTGTCCACACATTTATCAATTTCTTCTAGATTTTCTAGTTTATTAGCATAGAGGTGCTTATTAGTATTCTCTGATGGTAGTTTCTATTTCTGTGGGATCCACAGTGATATCCCCTTGATCATTTTTTATTGTGTCTATTTGATTCTTCTCTCTTTCCTTCTTTATTCTTTTGGCTAGTGTTCTATCTATTTTGTTAATCTTTTCGAAAAACCAACTTCTAGATTCATTGATTTTTTTTTTGAAGAGTTTTTGTGTCTCTATCTCCTTCAGTTTGGCTCTAATCTTAGTTATTTCTTGTCTTCTGCTAGCTTTTGAATTTGTTGGCTCTTGCTTCTCTAGTTCTTATAATTGTGATGTTAGGGTGTCAGTTTTAGATCTTTCCTGCTTTGTGATGTGGGCATTTAGTGCTATAAATTTCCCTCTAAACACTGCTTTAGCTGTGTCCCAGAGATTCTGGCACATTGTGTCGTTGTTCTCGTTGGTTTCAAAGAGCTTATTTATTTCTGCCTTCATTTGCTTATTTACCCAGTAGTCATTCAGGAGCAGGTTGTTAAGTTTCCATGTAGTTGTGTGGTTTTGAGTGGGTTTCTTAATCCTGAGTTATAATTTGATTGCACTGTGGTCTGAGAGACTGTTATGGTTTTCATTATTTTGCATTTGCTAAGGAGTGTTTTACTTCCAATTATGTGGTCGATTTTAGAACAATTGCTGTGTGGTGCTGAGAAGAATTCATATTCTGTTGATTTGGGGTGGAGAGTTCTGTAGATGTCTATTAGGTCTGCTTGGTCCAGAGCTAAGTTCAAGTCCTGAAAATCCTGGTTAATTTTCTGTCTCGTTAATCTGTCTAATATTGACAGTGGGGTGTTAAATTTCCCACTATTATTGTATGTGAGTCTAAGTCTCTTTGTAGGTCTCTAAGAACTTGCTTTATGAATCTGGGTTCTCCTGTATTGTGTGCATATATATTTAGGATAGTTAGCTCTTTTTGTTGCTTTGATCCCTTTACCATTATGTAATGCCTTTCTTTGTCTTTTTTGATCTTTGTTGGTTTAAAGTCTGTTTTATCAGAGACTAGGATTGCAACCCCTGCTTTTTTTTCTTCTTTCCATTTTCTTGGTAAATATTCTTTCATCCCTTTATTTTAACCCTATATGTGTCTCCGCATGTGAGATGAGTCTCCTGAATACAGCACACCAATGGGTCTTGACTCTTTATCCAATTTGCTAGTCTGTGCCTTTTAATTGGGGCATTTATCCCATCTACATTTAAGGTTAATATTGTTATGTGTGAATTCGATCCTGTCATTATGATGCTAGCTGGTTATTTTACTCATTAGTTGATGCAGTTTCCTCATAGTGTCAATGGTCTTTACATTTTGGTTTGTTTTTGCATTGGCTGATACCGGTTTTTCCTTTCCATATTTAGTGCTTCCTTTAGGAGCTCTTGTAAGGCAGGCCTGGTGATGACAAAATCCCTTAGCATTTGCTTGTCTGTAAAGGATTTTATTTCTTCTTCACTTGTGAAGCTTAGTTTGGCTGGATATGAAATTCTGGGTTGAAAATTCTTTTCTTTAAGAATGTTGAATATCGGCCCTCACTCTCTTCTGGCTTGTAGTGTTTCTGCAGAGAGATCTGCTGTTAGTCTGATAGGCTTCCCTTTGTGGGTAACCCGACCTTTCTCTCTGGCTGCCCTTAACATTTTTTTCCTTCATTTCAACCTTGGTGAATGTGATGATTACGTGTCTTGGGGTTGCTCTTCTTGAGGAGTATCTTTGTGGTATTCTCTTTATTTCCTGAATTTGAATGTTGGCCTGTCTTGCTAGGTTGGGGAAGTTGTCCTGGATATTATCCTGAAGTATGTTTTCCAACTTGGTTCCATCCTCCCCATCACTTTCAGGTACACCAATCAAACGTACGTTTGGTCTTTTTCACATAATCACATATTTCTTGGAGGCTTTATTCATTCCTTTTCATTCTTTTTTCTTTAATCTTGTATTCATGCTTTATTTCATTAAATTGATCAACAGTCTCTGATAGCCTTTCTTCCATTTGGTCGATTCAGCTATTGATACTTGTTTATGCTTCATGAAGTTCTCATGCTGTGTTTTTCAGCTCTGTCAGGTCATTTATGTTCTTCTGTAAACTGGTTATTCTAATTATCAATTTCTCTAACCTTTTATCCAGGTTATTAGCTTCCTTGCATTGGGTTAGAACATGCTCCTTTAGCTCAGGAGAGTTTGGTATTACCCACCTTCTGAAGCCTACTTCTGTCAGTTCATCAAACTCATTCTCCATCAAGATTTGTTCCCTTGCTGGTGATGATTTGTGATCCTTTAGAAGAGAAGAAGCATTCTGGTTTTTGGAATTTCCAGCCTTTTTGCGCTGGTTTTTCCTCATCTTTGTGGATTTATTTACCTTTGACCTTTGCTGTTGGTGATCTTCGGATGGAGTTTTTGTGTGGTTGTCCTTTTTGTTGATGCTGATGCTGTTGCTTTCTGTTTGTTAGTTTTCCTTCTAACAGTCAGGCCCCTCTGCTGCAGTTCTGCTGGAGTTTGCTGGGGGTTCACTCCAGACTCTGTTTGCCTGGGTATCACCAGCGGAGGCTGCAGAACAGCAAAGATTGATGCCTGTTGCTTCCTCTGGAATCTTCATCTCAGACAGGTACCCACCGGATGCCAGCCAGAGCTCTCCTGTATGAGGTAACTGTTGGCCTCTGTTGGGAGGTGTCCCCCCCGTCAGGAGGCACAGGTGTCAAGGACCCACTTAAGGCGGCAGACTGTCCCTTAGCAGAGCTCGAGCACTGTGCTGGGAGATCCACTGCTTTCTTCCATGTCGGCAGGCAGGGACGTTTAAGTCTACTGAAACTGCACCCACAGCCATCCCTTCCCCCAGGTGCTCTTTCCCAGGGAGATGGGAGTTTTATCTATAAGTCCCTGACTGGGGCTGCTGCCTTTTTTTCAGAGCTGCCCTGCCCAGAGAGGAGGAATCTAGACAGGCAGTCTGGGCACCTTGGCTTTGCGGCACGGTGGTGAGCCCTGCCCAGTCTCAACTTCCTGGGGGCTTTGTTTACACTGTAAGGGGAAAACTGCCTACTCAAGCCTCAGTAATGGCAGATGCTGCTCCCCCCACCAAACCTGAGCATCCCAGGTCAACTTCAGACTGCTGTGCTCACAGCAAGAATTTCAAGCCAGTGGATCTTAGCTTGCTGGGCTCCGTGGGAATGGGAGCTGCTGAGCTAGACCACTTGGCTCCCTGACTTCAGCCCCTTTTTTAGGGGAGTGAACGGTTCTGTCTCACAGGCATTCCAGGCACCACTAGGGTACAAAAAAACAACTACTGCAGCTAACTTGATGACTGCCCAAACAGCCGCCCAGTTTTGGGCTTGAAACCCAGGGCCATGTGCTGTAGGCACCTGAGGGAATCTCCTGGCCTATGGGTTGTGAAGACCATGGGAAAAACATAGTTATCTGGGCTGGATAGCACCCTCCCTCTTGGCACGGTCTCTCATGGCTACCCTTGTCTAGGGAAGGGAGTTCCCCAACCCTTGCACTTCCCGGGTGAGCCAACACCCCACCCTGCTTCAGCTTGCCCTCCGTGGGCTGCACCCACTGTCTAACCTGTCCCAGTGACATGAACCAGATACCTCAGTTGGATATGCAGAAATCATCTGCCTTCTGTGTTGATCTCACTGGGAGCTGCCGACCGGAGCTGGTCCTATTCGGCCATCATGCCTGGGAAATCAAAACTCAGTTTATTTCTAACTACCTTATCTAGCTTGCCTCCCTAGGCCCTAGGCCCACTCCATTCCTGAGTAGTCTCTTTCTTTTCCTCATAAGGCCCTTAAGGACCCTGTTCTACCATAAACAAACATCTCACTCTACCTTCTCAAACTAAATGAAACATGAATTTTTATCTTAAAATTTAAGATCTTCAGCAGCCTTTTCTAAAAGAAAGCTTCTATTTATTCCACTTTCTTCAACCCATGTTGCTTGAAATAGGGCTGGGTAATCTACTTCTAGACCATTGTTTGTAGCCCTTCTTCAACAACCCCCCTCCCCTGCTTTGGACTTCTTTGTCTATTTTTTTAATTTTGCTTCTACTTGAAGTCCTTGAAAAAATCAGTTGTTTTCAATCTCCTGAGAACCTCTGGTCTCAGTAGGAATTTCTCATTTAAGAGTTTTTTCTATCCTAGCCTCCTATTTTCCTACCAATTTATCATCACTGTTAAATTTATTCTTTGTCTTCCAATTTTGTCTTTGTCTTCCAATACTTATCTCCAAATCCATTACTCCCATTTAGCTTTTCTGCCTTTATATTCAGACTGGACTTCATGTTAAACTTTTCAATAATGTGCTCATGAGCCCTTGTGTGCTTTGCTAACCCCCACTAATGGCATTCAGCACTCCTGCCATACCTATCAGGAGTAGCTTCATAAAATCTCAACAAGGTGCCAATTGTAATTCCTGATATTTCATGGTATCAAACTTCTCTTCAGGTTCTCAAAGCTATACAAGAATCTATAGTCATCTTTTTGAAGCCTTTACAGTGACTGCTTCAAATTTTTCCCTTTCTCCTCAAGCCTCCATCCATTTCCTTAGCGCATACAGTCTCATTGGATAACACTGCTTATTTCTCTGAGAAAAAAGCATTCCTAGATGAACTACATCAATTACCTTCTAATGTGTTGGGGTGATCAGACCCAACACCAGGCCGTGGGGGCTACAAAGTCTGGTGGAGTCAAAGGAATGAGAAAAGACAAGTTAAGAGTGCATAAGATGGATCCAGGGGCCAATGCTGGTATAGAGGCTGTGAAGGTCCTGAGCTCTGGGAGCCCACACTATTTATTGGTGATCAAAGAAGCAGGTGGTGAGGATGTGTGGATGTGGGGATAAACAGCTGAGGACATGAGGACATGAGGACATGGTGGTAGAAAGGTAGCGGTGCATCAAGCATAGCTGTGACGGTTTAGCATTTTCTTTGACGCATATGTAATATGCTCTGCTACCTGAGATAATGGAAAACATGTTTATGAGCCTGGGAGAGCAACCAACAAGTCTGTGCACATTTCAGAGGCCACGAGGGGTTTTATGCCCTGAGCCCTGGATTCTTTCCAAGCCATGAGGGGTGCTATGACCTTGGCTTAGATTTGTGATGTGGCAGGACAGCCTTCCATCCTTTGGCACAGAGCTTGGTGTTTAAAAGGCCACGAGGGGTTTTAGACCCTGGACTCCAGACATCTTCCAAGATTCTTTTATATTATGGCAGACAAGCCAGTCCGGCCTCAGCTCTTCTACTAACACTAATGTAACTTCTCTTGTCACCCTTTCCTCTCTCTCAGCAATAATTTCAAAGTTTGTTGACTGTAACATTATCTCCACCCTCCCCAACAAATCAGAACCTATAAATGGCTATATTATAAGCAGCTGAAGATGGAAGAGCATAGATACAATTCACCTCTTAAAAATAGATCCAACACTGAATTTCAGAATCAGGAACCCAGCTTCAAAGATAACAGTCTGCTGATAGTTCAGCTGCCCTCTTGTACCCTAGAGTCTTTTTGTTATGGGAATAAAGAGCCAAAAGAGTTGACCTAGTAGATAGAATTAAATAGGAGCACTATCAGCCAGCTTGTCAAGGGAATCAGTTCCATTTGTTTCATAATCAAATACTTTAATGCTCAGCTGTTGCCATTCACTATTTGAAAATATCATTATGGCATAAAATGTATGTGAATATTTGGGTAAACAGATTTTGTTGATTTCATATTCCCAGTAGCTGGGACCAAGGTGTGCCCCACCATGTCCAACTAATTTTTAAAATTTTTTTGTAGAGACAGGGTCTTGCTATGTTGCCCAGGCTGGTCTCAAACTCCTGGACTTGCACCTTGACATCCCAATGTGCTAACATTACAGATTTCATTGTTTTTATATTTTGTTGTCTTCAAATCTGTGAAAATCTGTTTTCACAGATTTTGTTGTGTTTCTGTAACTAGATGTGCTAGAACCTCAAGATTAGAGGGAATCTTTGCTCTCTAATTATTCTCTTTTTTGGGACTCCTTTCCTATCTATCTATTTTCATAACTATCTTCATGGTTACTTAAATTAATGTGAAATATATTCGATTATTGAAAAATATCTAGGCATTCATGCTTCCAATACAATTATATTAGTCAGGGTTTTCCAGAGAGATAGAACCAGTAGGATACATACATATGTAAGTAGGTAGGTAAATAGATAGGTAGATATATGATTGATTTATAGATAGATAAATAGGTACATGATAGATAGATAGATAGATAGATAGATAGATAGAATTTATTAGAGGAATTGGCTCATGTGATTATGGAAGCTGAGAAGTCCCACCACAGGTTATCTGCAAGCTGAAGATTTTGGAATGCCAGCATCATGGCTTAGTATAAGTTTAAAAGCCTTGGAACCAGGGAAGTGGGTGGTGCAATTCTCAGTTTGAGATCAAAGGTCTGGGAATCCAAGGTGGGGTTGCCACTGGTGTAAGTCCTGGAGTCCTAAGGCTAGAGAGCCTGGAGTTCTGATGTCCAAGGACAGAGAGAGGAGAGCATCCAACCTCCAGGAGAGAGAGAGGGGAAATCTTTTTCTGTCCTTTTTTGTTCTGTTGGGCCTCCAGCCAATTGGATGGTGCCTGCCGACATGGAGGCAGATTTTCTCCACTCTGTCCACTGACTTACAGTCCAATCTCCTTTGGAAGCACCCTCACAGACGCACCTAAAAGTATTGCTTTACAAGTTCTGTGGGTATGCCTTAGTCCAGTCAAGTTGACACCTAAAATTAATCATCACAATGAATATGTCACTTTTTGGTAAATTTCTGTATAACATAAGAGAAATCCCTGAGAAAGGGACTCTTTGCCTATGGTAAAATAACCATTCTGAACAGTTTTTGTCCCTGAAGGGATTATTAACAATAAATGAAGGAACTGCGCTTTTGAATACTCTAATAGAAGATACACTGCATTTATTCAGCAAATATTTATTCCACATCTTCCATGCTCCATCCAGTGGAGTTGTAGCAATGAATAAGTCATATATGTCTTCCATTTCTATGACTTTTCAGTTTGGCATGAATGGTAGATATTAAATGAATATCATGCATTTAATTATTTAGTCTCAATTTTATGAATGTTCTGAGGAAAGGCACAGGGTGCCAGAAGATACACCTGAGGGAACAAAATTAATATTTTGTGGACAAAAATAGCTTTGTTGATGAACTGTTGTTTAGGCTAAGACCCAAAGGATAAATTAATATTAACCCTATGGAAAGTGCTTGTGTGTGTGTGTGTGTGTGTGTGTGTGTGTGTGTGTGTGTGTCTTGATAGAGGGGTTTAGAAGCCAAGTTTGGTTAATTTGAAAAATTAGAGCAGGAACATATGCCTTTTATTTGTGTTCCCCTCTCAATCACAGGAGCTGAAAGCCTGCAAACTACATTTTGTTAAGTCTTTGGTAAACACATTTCATATTAATTTCTGTTACAAGGCAGCAGAAATAGGCACAGTGCCTCCAACATATCAAAGGAAAGTAAAGGCTAGTGGAAGGGGATAACAGCTTCCTGACCTCCAGGTAATATTTCATTCATTGAAACGGTTCTTGGATTCTGTTTTTCCAGCTGTACACTGACTAATACAGGATAGAGTAATGGCATAAGAGCCTAATGATGTCAAAAGGGACCAGGTAAAGGATATTCTTATGGGTTGTATGAAGTATATTGGATTTCATTGTAACAGCAATGGGAACCCATTGAAGGATTCACAATAGAGAAGAGATATCAATTTTCCATTTTTAAATAGAGCAATTTGCCACGAAGAGAATGGATTTGGTGAAAATAAGAGTGAATTCAATAGTGGATATAAGAATTCAAATAAGAAATTATGGTAGTTAGATCCAAAGTGATAAAAGTGGAGAAGTTGTCAGAGCTGAAAAGAAATTGATAGGACTTGGGGCTTGGTTGGATTTAGGGGGTAAGATGGAAAAAGTAAAGGATGATTCTAAGATTTCTGACATGAGCACTGGGTAGATGATGATGTAATTCACTGAGATAAGACAATTTTAGGGACAAATATCATAACTTTGAGTTCAAATTGCATATGAGATATACAAGCAGATATGCTGAGTATAGTTATATATGTAGATGTAGAACTCAACATCAATCTATGCTGCGAAGTAAGTTTAGAAGTCATCAGCAAATTGATTATATTTGCAGCCATGTAAATATGTGAGATCTGTTAGGACATGAGCATATTGTGAGAAGAATAAGGTCTAATCCTAAGAAATGGGAATATTTAAATGACATGCTGAAGAAAAGGTAGTGCCAGAAAAAGAAAATGAGAAGTGGCCAGAAAGGAAAAAGGGAAATTAAAATGTGGCATCATAGAAACTGAAGGACAAGAATGTTTCTAGAAAGAGGAAGTAATTAATTATGTTGAATACTATGATTGAATGAATACATTGGTAATCTCAGCAAGAGCAAGTAACAGAAACCAAACAGTTGCTAATATAAACAGACACTGAATTTGTTTAAAGGGTGTTAGGTATTTTTTTAAATCTCTGAGAGGTGTGGTAAACCACATTAGAGTCCAGCAGCAGAAACAATGCCCAACCAAATGTTGCAGAAGTAATCAAGAGAAGATACTATTGATGCAGCCAATGGACACTAGCTGCCACATTTGGCAGCAGGGAGAAGACTTGAACTATGCATTAGACACCACTTTTTACACTGCTGCCATGATCACTTCTGAAACTCAGTTTCCCTGCAACTGTCACCACCACAAAAGACTTTCTTGAGGGCCACATTATTCACAGGTCAGTGCACCTGACCTACCTAGTAATGGAAACAGAAGCTAGGTTGAAACTAATGGTGGAATAAATGGAAGATGAGAATTTGAGAAGAATTAAAAAAAAAGAATACAGTTGACGTTTGAACGATGCAGGAGTTAGGGGTGCTGACTCCCTGCACAGTCAAAATTCCACGTGTAATTTTTGACTTCCTGAAACTTAACTACTAATAGCTTACTGTTGGCATTACTGATAACATAAACAATTGATTTACAGGTATTTTGTATGTTATATGTATGACATACTTTATTCTTACAAGAAAGTAAGCCAGATAAAAGGTTATTAAGAAAATCATAAGGAAGATAAAGTATACTTACTATTTATTAACTGGAAGTGGATCATCGTAAAGGTCTCCATCCTCATCATTTTCACATTAAGTAGGCTGAGGAGGAGGAAGAAGAGGAGGGGTTGGTCTTGCTGTCTCTAAGTTAGCAGAGGCAGAAAAGAATCCACGTGTAAGTGAACCCATGGAGTCCAAACCCATGTTGTTCAAGGGTCAACTGTAGATAACTTTTCCAAGACATTTAAAAGAAAGGTGAGAGAGCAGTGGCTGCAAGTCAGCATGACATCCACAGAGAGTTTTTCAAGATTAAAAAGATATAGCAAGTAGGGAGAAGCTAATAATATTAGGAAGTTAGAAGGTGTTTTAAGATATAAGATTACCTGAGTAACAAGACAAGAATGCTTACCATTACAATATTGTCTAACATTATTCTGAGGATACCAAACATAGAAAATGAAAAAAGAATTTTGAGGTTTAAATATGAGAAAGGAAGAGGTTAAATTATTACAATTTTCAAGTAATATATTTGTGAAAATCTTAAGACAATTTTTTTAAGATCAGAATTCAATAAGGTGACTGACTAAAAAATTTGTATACAGAAATTAGCAGCCCTCATATATTGAAACAACAGTGAGTTAGGAGATCTAATAAAAGACAAAATCCACTTACAATACCAATAAAAATGATAAAATACCTAGAAATGATCTTAACAAGAAATACGTAAAATTTATATGAAGAAAACTTCAAAATATAAATTACAAAAGTAATAGAAGAAACCATCAGGTTTTTTTGTAATCATGGATTAGAAAAGGATTTTCCAAGTATATAACAAAAGCCAGAAGTCATCAAAGTAAAACTTTAATAAATCTGATTATAAAAAATTTCCTGCATGGCAAAAAAAAAAAAAAATACAACACACATTACAAAAGCCATCTTTACATATAAATAATGTCTACAATTCAATTTTCTAAAAGTATAACATGAGAAAATAGGAAAGGGATATGAACAGAGAAAAGCAATCAGAAATGGATTTTAAATATTTGAAGAGGCTCAATTTGTAATAGGCAAAATATTAATTAAAATTATGAAATCAGCAAAACCCTTGTGATGGCCTTGTGTTAGGTGAGTTTTACTGCTTGTTGGGGCTTAGAAAACAATACCCCAAAATGAAGGCTTCAGGAGTAGCCTCAGAAGCAAAGGTGTTTCTTTGACCTTCTCCTCCCCTCCTGTCTCTGGCCTTTCATTCTTCCTTGAGGCTAGCCACAACTAGAATCCACTTTTCCCAAGGCAGATCACAGAAACCAGAGACCCTTTCCCCTAAAACCAGCCATAAAACTTAAAAATATTACTCCAGTTTGCCCCCATGCCCCCATTTTCTGTGTAAAAATTGGCCATAAAGAAATTATCTGACTTGTCTTGTTTGATTGTAGGGCATAAGACTTCCATTCCAGAGGGGGTCCTGCCCCATGTCCAGAAGGAAGAAATGCATGCTCGAGAGGTCAAGAATCTAGGCAGACAGGCCTTACTGGGTTTCCCCACTCAGTCTATTAGCATTAGATAATATCCTTTGTGTTCAGTCATATTTCTACATGGCTGTACATACTTCATTTAACCTGAGAATAAAAATAGACAGTTTTCCCTGTTTCTTTGGGTATTCATTCTGAAAGCTCCCATATGCATAAAAGTATAATCAAATAATTTTATATGCCTTTTCTCCTTTTAGCCTGCCTCTTAGTGATTTTCAGCAAACCTTCAGAGGGCAAAGGGGATGTTTTCACATGGCCCCTACACTCTCATACATTTTTGGTGGGACTGTCATTTGATTTGATCTCTACGGAGGATAATTTGGCAATATTTATCATAATTACAATGGCGTTTACCCTTTAGCCAAGTAATCCCATTAATAGGAATTTAACTCATAAACATATTTTCAGATATGTGAAATAATGTACACAAATATTCATTGCAATGTTGCTTATAATAGTAAAAGTTTGGAGACAATGTAAATGTCCATCAATAGGGTCAGGTTAAATAAATTATGCAACATCCCTAATTTATACTATGCAATTTAAAAAGAATGAATCAATACTTTGTGAATTAATATTGTGTCTAAGATGTATTTTAAGTGAAAAAAACGAGATATGCCACAGTGTATAAAGTGTGTTGCTTTTTTTTTAAGCTTGAGAAAATATTTGTATGGATTTACTTAGGTGTGCGTAGAATATCTCCGGCAGTATACCTGCCCCTAAGAGAAGATAGATGACTGGGGCTAGAAATAAAAAAGAAATTTTCTGTCATAATCCCTTTGTAATTTTTCAATTTTAGACATTTAAATATGTTGCTTACTGAAAACAGTTAAAACTTGAGCAAAAAGCATGAGATTCCTGGAAATATATAAAGGAATATATGCCAGAATAGTGGAGAGATCGGCCTTGCATGTAAGAGGAAACACTTCCTCCATTTTTACAGATCAGAAAGAATACAGGGGAGTTGTAGCATTGATTTGGTGCAGGAAGTTGAAGGGTTGAAGAAATTTTTTGAATGACGCTTTTTTTTTAAGGGAGGATGCAAAGTAATGAGAGTATAAGAGATGAGTAGAAGTTTGAAATAATTATTGTGAATATAGGAGAGTGAGTTGACTACAGGAGTGTAAAATTGCAAGGCAGTATTAAGGGCCAAGTAAAGGTTAGGCATTAGAGATCAAAACTGATTTCTATTTGCTCAGTTGTCTGATATTTCACCATCAACTCTTAGCTGGCTGGGGTGAGACAAAAAGGTTAATGAAAATGAGATGTTCACTTTTCTTGCTAAGAGGAAGACTGAAGGCAAAATGATCTCTATGAGTGGAAGAACACCCTAAAAATGGGTGATTAAGCTGCCAGGAAGTGCCACCCTGGTAGGGAAAAGTACCATTTGACTGTTTGCCATCATCTGTCACAAAGAGACATGAACAAATTTACAAAGATTTGCTTACACAGAAGCAACACAAATCCTGTTTGGTTTTCCTAAGTTCTCAGAAGTTTTGTAAGATCCTGACTAGTTTAAGCTCTATCTGTAAAATCTATAAACAAGTTGTCAGCTTGCAAACTCCTTTTAACTCATTTGTTACTCATGTTAAATTCAGTATAATAAGAATCTATTTTGAGATGTTTCTTAAAGGAACTTTAAAAAGAATAATATACTAAACTGGATTTAAAAAATATTCTACCATTTAAGCCAAACTTAGAAATAGAACTGTTATATCCTGAATCATGCTGATTTATAATTATTACAATGTTGAGTAGAAAGAATGTGTATATTTGCTGTTCTTGACATATTAACTGTTAAAAATTGAAGGACATAAAACAAATAATTACTATTTTTAAGCTTTTCACCTTGAATATAGCACTCTGTTTCTGTTCACTAGAAATGCCTTTTAAAATACTAATTTTTAAGGTTAAAAATAAATGTCATTTCTCAGTAATTTAATCTTCAGATGTATTAAGTCCCTTTTGTTATTTAAAACTCTTAAAATTATAATATATGTGAGAAGATCCAATAGCTTATTTTTATTATGATAACATGGCCTCCTATTGAAAATGAAGGTAATATTCATTCCCAGAAAGTCTGTTTTTGCAAATCCTCTTAGAAAGTGCTTTAAAAACCTCTTACTTTATTCATATGCTTATGGAGGTAGTTCCCAGTCAGTGCCCAAGCATTGCCTCCCACAGTTATATTGAAATAGCAACAATGAAAAGGCTGCTTCTTCAGAGTTCTCATTGAAAAAGAATTTTCTTTATGCTGGGTGCAGACTGAGGACTTGATTGATAGTCCTTTAGATATTCTTCAGTGATAGGCCAGTAGTTCTGTATGTATTACTATGGGAGTATAACTTGTACATTCTTACAATGCAAAAAATTATTTGGCTTTCCATGTAGGTCCAATGGAAAAGTCCCATTACGTTGACTAGGACCCACACTTGTGAAGAATTATGAAAACACAGAGCATTTTGCAACAAATTATGTAATCATGTAAATAGTAAACTAATAATAAACAGTAAACTGATAACAGCAAAATATATTTAAAATTTGTACTGTTACATATCTTCATTGGCACACAAAGATAATGCTATTTTAAAAAATAAAATCAGAAGCTTGAAATGTGTACAGTACTTCTTTTATTGCTTATGAATACGATTAGGCCAATGTACTTTTTGAATCAGATAATTTTTTGACCTAAATGGGTTTAATCCTCTTCTTTATACTTTATACATAAGGAAACAGGCTTGTAGAGAAGAAAAGATTTCTTTTCTCACCCATTGCTAGTTTTATGGCTGAGGCCTCTATTAAAAAAAAGAGGTTAACAAGAGAAAAATCACAAATATGTATTTACTATAAAGTTTATGTGATATGGGAGACTTCATAAAGAAATGAAGATCCAAAGAACAGGTAAACCTATGTGTATTGTATGCTAGGTTTAATGGAGAAGTGGATAGTCATGGAGAGGTATGATTAGACTAAGTGGGTTAGCAAGGCAGGTTTGTACAGATTCTTCTCTGTATCATTGGGTCTTCACAGACAAGGTTGTTTGTTATTTCCAGGAATGGGAATGGTACTTCTAAGATGTGGGTCTTATGACCTTGCTTCAGGGAAGGAGGGTGGGAGAAGGTCAGAGAGTAACTTTCCTGCTTCTGCTATTTTCTCAAATGCCAAGGTGACATATTTTGGGGTAATATGTCCCTGGGTCTTCACAGACAAGGATGTTTGTTATCTCCAGGAACAGGAATGGTACTTCTAAGATGTGGGTCTTTTGACCTTGCTTCAGGGAAGGAGGGTGGGAGAAGGTCAGAGAGTAACTTTCCTGCTTCTGCTATTTTTCTCAAATGCCAAGGTGACGTATTTTGGGGTAATATGTCCTGAACCCCATCACTTGCAAGGTTTTGCCTTATTCAGGGACTTCTGTCCTCTTTCTTTTGCATTCTTTTTTTTATGAAATATACTCATGGCAGAAATGCATCTGTGAAACTGTGGGTTTCACCTTAGTCAAGTTTGTCTCCACAGGCACGAATCACAAAGGGCCTCAAAACCACATTAAAATTTAAGATTGATCTGCTCTTCTGCTTCTGAATGTGAGAGCCTATACTGGATCTCTGAAGAAAATAAAGATGAGATGAGGTTCTGATCCCTTGGACTTCATGAAGTTACGTGACAGAAAGTATGATTGTCTAGCCGATACTTGACTGTGTGAAACCTTCATCTACTCCGGAATCCTGAGGCACAGACTCAGAGGCCCTCTGACTCACGATTAGGGTTGTCAGGGTGATGCAACAGCAAGACCATAGCCTTTGGTGTCGGAATACCAAGTTTTGAAGCTCAGTTTCCCCACTCACTAATTTTCAGTGAGCACATACATAATTTGAAATCTGAAAATGGACAATAATGCCTACCTACTTCAAAATTTGGTTTGAGAATCAAGTGAAATATTAATATATATGTAAGCATTTTATGAACAAGGAAGCAAGTTATAAATGCATTATCTTGTTAATTTAGTCATTTCACTAGGGGTGGGTCCAATGTGGGCCTCCTTTGAGGTAGACTGTATTTCATGAATTTATAATAAAATTCTAAAGTTTAACAAAGACAGTACCTGGAAAAATTACTTTTTCATGTTTTTATGTTTTGTGTCCACTCTGTTGCAGTAACAACACAGATATAAAAGGATTTGAGTCTGTTTATAGTATTAATCAGATTCCCACTCTCATTCATAGTGAGATTTTAAAACCTTTTCTTACACATCTAAAGGAAAGTGTATCTGACCCAGTGGTTTTTTCTTTACCCTGTCACTTTATTTAGTATGCCTCATTAACATCAAATAATAAGGTATTTTATTTGGGGTCTTCTCTCATAGTACTAGAAAATGCAATTTTGCTAGATGAAATTGGTTTCAATCCTAAAAAACTTAATATTTCTTTTCTTACAAATAAATGTTTATACTTTTTTATAACATTCATTTTCCAGATAATGTAGACTTGCTCAGAGATAATATTGTATCAGAAGATTTAGAAGAGTAATTTGTTGAGAATATATAGAATCATCCTCAAATATTTTTTAATTTTTAAATTTTTTTTTGCTTTTCGCCTCCTTTTATTTATACATAATAATTTACATATTTATGGGGTACATTTGAGTGTTAAACTCACAGCATGTATAATGATCAAGTCAGGCTATTTGGAGTATTCACCACCTTGAGTGTTTATCATTTTTACATGTTAGTATCATTTAAAGTCCTCTCCTCTAGTTACTTTGAAATATACATAATATTATTGCTTAGTCACCCTAGTCTGTTATCAAACATTAGGACTTATTTATCTCATCTAACTGTATATTTGTACCCATAATCAACATCTCTTCATTTCCCCCAGCCTCCCTCCCAGTTTCTGTTATTCTTCTGTTCTATATGTCCACAAGATCAAATATTTTAGCTCCCACCTATGAGTAAGAGCATGAGGTATTTGTCTTTCTGTGCCTGGCTTATTTCACTTAACATAATGACCTTCAGTTCAATACATGTTGCTGCAAATGACATGATCTTATTTTTTTTCTATGGATGAATAACATTTCATTGTATACATATGCCACATTTTCTTTATCCATTTGTCCATCGATGAGCATTTAGGCTAATTCCATATCTTTGCTATTGTGAATACTGCTATGATAACACGCGAGTGCAGATACCCTTTTGAAATATTGATTTCTTTCCCTTTGTGTAGATACCTAGTAGTGGGATTACTGGATAGTATATTAGTTCTATTTTTAGTTTTTTTGAAAAAATCTCTGTATTCTTTTCCATAGTGGTTGTACTAATTTACATTTTCACCAACAGTGTGTAAGAATTCTCTTTCCTCCACATCTGTGCCAGCATCTGATATATTTCATCTTTTTAATAATCACCATTCTAAATGGGGTGAGATGATATCTCATTGTGTTTTTGATTTGCATTTCCCTGTTGATTAGTAATATTGAACATTTTTTCATATACCTGTTGGCCATCCAGATGTTCTCTTTTGAGAAATGTCTATTCATGTTCTTTGCCCATTTTTTAATGGGATTATTATTATTATTTTAACTGTTAATATATTTGAGTTCCTTGTATATCCTGGATATCAGTCTCTTGTCAGATGAGTAATTTTCAAATATTTTCTCCCATTCAAGAGGTTAGGGCCAGGCACAATGGCTCATGCCTGTAATCCCAGTGCATTGGGAGGCCAAGATGAGAGGTTCACTTGAAGCCAGAGTTTGAGACCAGCCTGGGCAATATAGCAAGATCCTGTCTCTACAAAAGTAAATAAATAAACTAGTTGGATGTGGTGACACACACTGTACTCTCAGCTATTTGGGAGGCTGAGACATGAGAATCACTTGAGCCCAGGAATTTGAGGCTGCAGTGAGCTATGATTGTGCCCATGCACTCCAGCCTGGGTGACAGAGCAAAACCCTGTCTCTAAAACCAAACAAAAAAAGGGTGTTGTCTCTTTACTCTGTTTGTTATTTCTTTTGCAGTGCAGAGACATTTTAGTTTAATGTAGTCCTGTTATTTTTGTTTTTGTTGCCTGTGCTTTTGAGGTCTGAGCCATAAAATCTTTGCCTAGACCAATGTTCTGAAGAGCTTTTCCTATGTTTTCTCCTAGTAGTTTTATACTTTTGGGTCTTACATTTAAGTCTTCAATCCATCTTGATTGATTTTATATAAGGAGAGAGACAAAGGCCCAGTTTCGTTTTTCCACATATGCTTATCCAGTTATCCCAGCACCATTTATTGAAGAGGGTACCCTTTCCCCAATGTATATTCTTGGCAACTTTGTCAAAGATCAGTTGGCTGTAGATATGTGGCTTTATACCTGGGTTCTGTATTCTGTTCCATTGGTCTATGTGTCTATTTTTATACAATACCATGCTGTTTTGGTTACTTGTAATATGTTTTGAAGTCAGGTAATGTGATGCTTCCAGCTTTGTTCTTTTGGCTTAGGAATCGTTTTGGCTATTCAGGCTGTTTTTGGGTTCCATACTAATTTTAAAGTTGTTTTTTCCATATCTTTGAAGAATTATGTTGGCATTTTGATAGAGATTGCATTGAATCTATAGCTTGCTTTGAGTAATATGGACATTTTAACCAACAGTCATCGAACTTTTTGGCACCAGGGACCAGTTTTGTGGAAGACAATTTTTCCACAGACTAGGGTCAGGGGAGGGGGGATGGTTTCAGGATGAAACTGTTCCACCTCAGATCATCAGACATTAGATTCTCATAAGGAGCACACAACATAGATCCCTTGCATGTGCAGTTCACAATGAAGTTCATGCTCTTGTGAGAATCTAATGCTGCTGCTGATCTGACAGAAGATGGAGCTCAGGCGGTAATGCTCGCTCGCCTGTGGCTTATCTCCTGCTGTGTGGCCTGGTTCCTAATAGCCCACAGACCAGTACTAGGGGTTGAGGACCCCTGATTTTAACAACAGTAATTCTTCAAACCATGAGAATGAGATGTCTTTCCATTTGTTCATGTCTTTCCAGTTTCTTTCCTCATTGTTTTGTAGTTTTCCTTGTAGAGATCTTTTAGCTCTGGTTAAATTTATTTCCAGATATTTCTTTTTCTTTCTTTTTTTTTTTTTTTTTTTGTAGCTATTGTGAATGCGATTGTCTTGATTTCTTTTTCGGCTATATTACCATTGGTATGTAGAAATGCTACTGACTTTTGTATGTTGATTTAGCATCCTGCAGCCTTAGTAAACCTGTTTATAAGTTCTGAGAGTTTTTTGAGTCATCTTTTGTTTTTTCTAGCTATAAGATTATGTCATCTGCAAAGAACAATTTGACTTTTTCTCTTCCAATTTTTTGTGCTTTCTATTTCTTTTTCTTGTCTGGTTACTTTAGCTAGGACTTCCAGCACTGTGTTGGATAGGAGTGGTGAAAATGGGCATCCTAGTTTTCAAATTCTAGAGAAAAGGCTTTCAACTTTTTTGATTCAGTATGATGTTAGCTGTGGGGTTGTTGCATATGGTCTTTTTAATTTTGAGGTATGGTCCTTTCATGTGCAATTTATTGAGAGTTTTTTCGTTTTTATCATAAAGGGTGCTGACTGTTGTCAAATGATTTTTCTGCATCTATTGAGATGATCATATGGTTTTTGTTCTTCATTCTGTTGTTATGTCACATTTGATTTGCATATGTTGAACCATCCTTGCATCTCTGAAATCACACTTGATAATGGTATATTATCTTTTTTTCATTTCTGATTTTGTTTATTTGGGTCTTTCCTTGGTTAGTCTAGTTAGTGGTTCATATGGTGTATTAACCTGTTTTCACACTGCTGATAAGGACATACATGAGACTGGGTAATTTATGAAAAAAAAGTTTCATGGACTCACAGGGGGTCCATGTGGCTGGGGAGCCTTCACAATCGTGGTCAAAGGTGAAAGGAACATCTTACATGGCAGCAGGAAAGAGAAAAATGAGAGCCAAGTGAAAGAGGAAACCCCTTGTAAAATGACCAGATCTTGTGAGACTTATTCACTATTACAAGAACAGTATGGGGGAAACTGCCCCCATGATTCAATTATCTCCCACCAGGTGCCTCCCACAACACATGGGAATTAAGGGAGCTAAAATTCAAGATGAGATTTGTAGTGGGGACAGAGCCAAACCATGTTATTCTTCCCCTGAGCCCACCTAAATCTCATGTCCTCACATTTCAAAAACAATCACGCCTTCCCAACTGTCCCACAAAGTCTTATCTCATTTCAGCATTAACTCAAAAGTCCACAGTCCAAAGTCACATCTGAGACAAGGCAAATCCCTTCCACCTATGAGCCTGTAAAATAAAACACAAGTTAGTTACTTCCTAGATACAATAGGGGTACAGGCATTGGATAAATGGGAGAAACTGGCCAAAACAAAGTGGCTACAGGCCCCATGCGGGTCCAAAATCCAGTGGGCAATCAAATCTTAAAGCTCCAAAATGATTTTCTTTGACTCCATATCTCACATTCACGTCATGCTGATGCAAGAGGTGGGCTCCCACAGGCTTGGGCATCTCCACCCCTATGGCTTTGCAGGGTATAACCCCCCTCCTGGCTGCTTTCACAAACTGGTGTTGAGTGCCTGTGGCTTTTCCAGGTGCCTGGTGGCTTTTCCAGGATCTACCACTCTGGGGTCTGAAGGATGGTGACCCTCTTCTCACAGCTCCACTAGGCAGTGCCCCAGTGGGGACTCTGTGTGGAGGCTTGCATCCCACATTTCCATTTTGCACTGCTCAGAGGTTCTCCATGAGGGGTCCACCCCTGCAGCACACCTCTGCCTGGACATCCAGGTGTTTCCATACATACTCTGAAATCTAGGTGGAGGTTCCCATGCCTCAATTCTTGACTTCTATGCACCCGCATGCTCAACACCATGTGGAAGCTGCCAAGGCTTGGGGCTTGCACCCTCTGGACCCATGGCCTGAAGTTTACCTTGGCCCTTTTTAGCCACAACTGGAGCAGTTGGGATGCAGGGCACCAAGTCCCTAGGCTGCACACAGCAGGGGGGCCCTGGGCCTGGCCAACAAAACCATTTTTCCTCCTAGGCTCCCAGGCCTGTGATGGGAGGGGCTGCTGGAAAGGTCTCTGACATGCCCTGGAGACATTTTCCCCATTGTCGTGGTGATTAACATTGGGCTCTTTGTTACTTACACAAATTTCTGTAGCAGGCTTGTATTTCTCCCATGAGAATGTTGCATTGTCAGGCTGCAAATTTTCCAAACTTTTATGCTCTTCTTCCTCTTGAACACTTGGCCACTTAGAAATTTCTTCCGCCAGATACCCTACGTCATCTCCCTCAAGTTCAAAGTTCCACAGATCTCAATTTGTGCAGAGGCAAAATGCTGCCATTCCTTTTGCTAAAACATAGAAAGAGTCACCTTTACTCCTGTTCCTTCAAGTTTCTCATCTCCATCTGAGACCACTTCAGCCTGGGTTTCATTGTCCATAGCATTATCAGCATTTTGGTCAAAGCCATTCAACAAATCTCTAGGAAGTTCCAAACTTTCCCACATTTTCCTGTCTTTTTCTGAGCCTTCCAAACTATTCCAACCTTTGCCTATTACCCATTTCCAAAGTCGCTTCCACATCTTTGGGTACTTTTATAGCAGTACCCCACTATTTGGTACCAATTTACTGTATTAGTCCATTTTCATACTGCTGATAAAGACATGCCCAAGACTGGGTAATTTATAAAGAAGAGAGGTTTATAAAGAAAAGAGGTAATTTATAAGGAAAAGAGGCTGGGGCGACCTCATACTCATGGTGGAAGACAAAAGACACCTCTTACATGGTGGCAGGCAAGAGAAAAATGCGAGCCAAGGGAAAGGAGAAACCCCTTATAAAACCAGCAGAACTTGTGAGACTTATTCACTAACATGAGAAGAGTATGGGGAAAACCGCCCCCATGATTAAGTTATCTCCCACTGGGTCCTTCCTACAACACATGGGGATTATGGGAACTATAATTCAAGATGATAGTTGGTTGGGGACACACTTATCTTGAATTGTAGCTCCCATAATCCCCAAATGTCATGGGAGGGACCCAGTGGGAGGTAATTGAACCATGGGGGTGGTTACCCCTATGCTGGTGTTCTCATGATAGTGAGTGGGTTTCACGAGATCTGATGGTTTCATAAGAGGATTTTCCCCCTTTTGCTTGACACTTCTTTCTGCCACCAGGTGAAGAAGGTTGTGTTTGCTTTCTCTTCTGCCATGATTGTAAGTTTCCTTAGACCTCAGCCATGCTGAACTGTAAGTCAATTAAACCTGTTTACTTTATAAATTACCCAGTCTCAGGTATGTCTTTATTAGCAGTGTAAGAACAGACTAATACAGTGGTTTATCAATTTTGTTTATCTTTTTGAAGAAGCAACTTTTAATTTATTGATCCTTTATATTATTTTTTAGTCTTCATTTCATTTGGTTCTGCTTTGACTTTTTTCTTTCTTTTCTTTTGCTAATTTGGGGTTTGGTTTGTTCTTAATTTTCTAGTTCCTTGAAGTGTATCATTAGATTATTTCAAAACTGTTTTTTTAAACTTAGGGGCTTATTTTTATAAACTTCTTTCTTAGTACTGCTTTTGCTGTGTCCCACATGTTTTGATGTGTTATGTTTCCATTTTCATTTGTTTCAAGATTCTTTTTTTGATTTCCATGTTATTTGTTGACTCAACAGGTGTCAGGAGCAAGTTGTTTAATTTCCATATATTTATATACTTTCCAAAGTTCCTCTTGGTGTTGATTTCTAGTTTTATTTGATTTTAGTCTGAGAAGATACTTGATATGATTTTTACATTTGTTGAGACTTGTTTTGTAGCCTAACATCTGATCAGTCTTAGAGAATGTTCCATGGGCTGATGTGAAGAATGTGTATTCTGCCATTGTTGGGTAGAATATTCTGTAAATGTCTATTAAGCCCATTTGATCTAAAGTCCAGCTTATGTCCAATGTTTCTTTGTTCATTTTCTGTCTAGATGATTTGTCTAAAGCTGAGAGTGGGGCGTTGAAGTTTCCCATTATTTCTGTATTGCAGTTTATCTCTCTTTTTATATTTAATAATGTTTGCTTTATGAATCTGTGTGTTCTGGTGTTGGGTGCATATATATTTAGAATGGTTATATCCTTTTGCCGGACTAGTCTCCTTATCATATAATGACCTTCATTTTCATGGTTTTGTTGTTTGTTTTTGTTTTTTACTGTTTTTGACAGAAAGCCTGTTTCATCTAAGTATAGCTACTCCTGCTCACTTTTGGTTTCTGTTTGCATGAAATATCTCTTCATCCCTTTACTTTCCATGTCTACGTGTTTTTACAGGTAATGTGCATTTCTTGTAGGCAGCATATAACTGGATGTTTGTTTTTTGAAAATTCATTCATCCAGTCTATGTCTTTTAAGTAGAGAATTTAATTCATTTACATTCAGAGTTATTATTGATATGCAAGGGTTGTTTTCTGTTATATTTCTGTCATTGTTGTTTTCTGGTTGTTTTTATAGTCTTCATTTCTTTTTTTTTTTCTCTTATCAATATTCCTTGTGTTTTGCTGATTTTCTGCAATGGTACCATTTGAGTCTACTGTCTTCCTTAGTTGTTTGTTTCCTTTACCAGTGAGTTTTACATTTTTGTGTGCTTTTTGATGGAAACTGTCATCCTTTTGCTTCAAGGTTTATAACTCCTATGAGCATTTCTTGTAAGGTCATTCTAGTGGTGATGAATTCCCTCAGCATTTGCTTATCTGGAATAGACCACATCTCTCCTTCATTTATGAAGAAGATTTTTGCTGGATATAGTATACCTGGGTGGCCATTTTTATCTTTCAGCACTTTGAATATATCCTTCCATTCTCTCCTGGCCTATAAAGTGTCTGCTACAAACTCTGTGCTTAATCTGATAGGGGCTTCTTTATATAATGAGACACTTTTCTCTTGGTGCTTTTAGAATGTTCCTTTGTCATTGATTTTAGACAATTTTATTATAATGTACCATGGAGAAGAACCTTTTTCATTTTATCTGTTTGTGGATCACTGGGCCTCCTGTATATAGGTGTCTAAATCTCTTGCTAGACTTGGGAATTTTTCATCTGTTATTTTGTTAAATAGGTTTTCCAACCCTTTCATTCTCTCTTTGCCTGGAGATACTGATTATTTGTATATTTGGTTGCTTTATGATGTTCTGTGTATCATGATGATTGTTATCATTCTTTTTTATTCTTTTTTCTTTTTTTTGTCTGACTGGGTTATTTCAAAAGACCCATCTTCAAGTTCTGATATACTTTCTTCTGCTTGATCTAGTCTATTGTTGAAGCTTTTGAGTATATTTTTTATTTTATTGAAGAAGTTCTTCAGTCCCAGAATTTCTGTTTTGTTCTTTTTTATAGTATCTACCTCTTTGGTAAATTTCTCATTTATATTCTTAATTGCTTTTTCTGATTTATTTGCATTGTTTTTCAGAATTCTCTTGTATCTCACTGAACCTTAGTACCATAATTTTGAATTCTTTTTCTAGGATTTCAAGAATTTCTTTTTGATTGGGATCTATTACTGGGGAATTATTATATTCTTTTGAAGTTGTCATATATTCTTACTTTTTCATGTTTCCTCTTTCCTTACTTTGATATCTGCACATCTGGTATAATAGATACTTCTTTCAATTTTTTGGATTGACTCCACAGGGGAGGACTTTTTCCTGAAGGTATATCAATATTATTGATTGGGTAGGGTGCTCTGGCTTTGATTTTGGGTATATGTAGTAGAGTAGTCTCTGTATGGTTTCTTTGTCTATTATCACTATCAGCGGTATCTGTCATTCTTCAGTGATTTCAGTTGGGGTTATTAACGGAGGCTGTAGTGAAGTTTTGCCAGGGACAGGGGTGCCAGGTGGGCCAGTCTTTGGGCCCCAGTTGTGACAGTGATTGGCTGAGTATGCCTGGCATTAGGCGCCATGGTATTTATACTGGCACTGGGGATATTTGGATCAGGCAGGCAAATTCTTGGACCTACAGGTGGCTTGCTCAGATGCTGGTAGTGGCAGCAGTGGACCAAATGGGTGAGCAGGTTTTTGGATCCGTAAGTAGCTGGCATGGATTGGGTGATGGCAGTAGAGCGGCATAATGACCCTCTGGGTCCTGAGCTTTACATGCTGATGTTGGCGGTTGCCATGGTGCAGGATCACCATCCACAGCCTCAGACACACAGCTCTCAGGTTCACTGCTCTTGACAACAGAAGTGCTGCAGCACCATGCAGAGGGGAAGTACCCAGTCCTTCATGTGCAAGCCCAGGCATGAAGGCCACACCACCAGTGGGGATACAGTCACCACCCATAGGCTCAAACAGACAGTATGCTAATCCACCCACCTCAGCCTTCAGTGGCAGCAGTAGTGGCTGTGCCTACCAATCAATAATATTGTGGTGTACAAAGGAGGAGAAAGGGTTCTGCTCTCTGTGGGTGAGCCTTAGCACAGAGGCCACTCCTCTGGTGAGAGGAGATCTCACTCTCCATGGCTGAGCGCAGAGTTTGTGCCACAGCTAGGGGTGAGGTCGTTTCTCACAGCCACAGAGAGGGAGCTCTCACGCTCTGAAAAGTATGTATTTTGTTTTCCTTTGTCCCAGGGGCTGCCTTTTTTGTTCAGCATTGTCATTTCCCTGTGGGATAAGGTACTAGGGACCCTGCAGCACCTTTGGGTCCAGCCAGCACTGTGGCACTGTAGCCCTCCAGGTAGATACTGGGATATGTCATTTGGAGCTCCCAATATGTAGATATATGAGATCTGTGGTTCCCAGGGCAAGATGTAGCCCCATCACTGCTGTGCTCTCACAATGACAGCCTGCTGCAGCTGCTTAGGTCTCAGGGAGGTGAGTGACCCAGCATGAGTTCCCTGTCTGGTGCAATGACCTCATGTGGAGTCTCCAAATCGCCACCCATGCTAGTGGCAGCGTTAGTGTGAATAGAGAAGCTCTCCCATAGTTCAGATCATAGCAGTACATGGTGGGGATGGGGACAAGTAATCTTCTCTCATTTAATTTTTCTTTGCAATACCAGACCCACCTGGGCTCCCAGCCAGTTTGGCCAAGCTAGCCTTTTGCTTCCTTTTCCTTCTGTGCTTTAGGTATTTCTCATGACTTATCTGTTGGACTCCAATGTTCTCTCCTAGATGTTCTGTTTGTGGTATGATTATCTATTTGTAATTTTGTTTTTGCTTTCTGGAGAGGGAAGATGTTTGAAGTCTCTAGTCAGCCTTCTTTAAATAGGATCCCTTTTCAGATATTCATATGTGTCATTACCTCAGAAAATTTTTCCTTGACCTTACAGTGTAAATTAATTACACCTGATTATTTATTCACATAGCAAATGTTTATTTAATTTAATGTGTAACTCACAGGAGTATAAGCTTCATTATGACCTTGTCTATTTTGTTGACTACCATATACATACTCAGCATTTAGCTAATATTATGCATTGATGAATTCAATAAATATTTGTTAAATGAACAAATAATAAAAGCAAATAACTGATGGTGCTCTTAATGAAACATTCCATATTTATTTACATATTTCCCTCTTCCATAAAGCATGGTAGAAAAAAAAACATATAGAGAGAAGACAAAAGAGTAATTTAAAAGGCATTCTTGTACTGAGATTTTCCTCTCTTTAGAAGTCCTAAACCTGAAAATTTGGTCCAGAGGAAGTGGTATCAAGCAGTTCTACAAAATCCAGTTTAATTGTTCAGTGTTTGCGGCAAGATTAGAAGTACTTTTTTTTTTTTGCCTATCTATACAAACAGTAAAGTTTAGAGGGAAAACACAAGGCAAAACAGTAAGAGGCATCTGGGGATGGGAAGCAGGTGAAGGAGTGAGTGCTAGACAATTTTCCCCTAGTCTTCCCTTCCGTGGAGAAAAGGCAGGCATTGCTGCCATCCTGTCTATTCAGTTCTCTTTGTCAGCTTTGCTCAGGACAAGGGCATATTCTACCTCAAAAAAAAAAAAGTTTTCCAAAGAAAGGTGATGCTGCTAACTATGAAACTGATTGATGCTTTTGAAGCTTCTTCATATCCTGTCCTGCTAGTTGTGGTTATTATCTTGAAGTAAAAAAAGTAAATGTATTTGAAGCAATCTTTTCATGATTTTTTTTTCTCTTGGAGTGCATGTGTATGTAACATTGTGGAGTAAGTGAAATTAGTAATATTTTAGTAAATTCGATTTCTAATTATATAAACTGTAACTTTGAGTTACTCTCTTAGTTTTATTACATAAACAATCTCAGATATGTGAATCATTAAGGGGATCCTGTTTAAAAAATGGTTTCTAGGTATTCAAGGAAATTGTACCTCCAATTTCATTTTTTTCCCCAAGATACTGGATTTCCTGTTACATTATACAAACATTTAATACAGTCATGCATCACTTAACCATAGGAATATGTTCTGAGAAATGCATTATCAGGTGGTTTTGTCACTGTGCAAACAAAGAATGTACTTACACAAACCTAGCCGGTATAGCCTACTACACACTTAGACTATATGGCATAGCCTATTGCTCTTAGACTACAAACCTGTAAAGCAAGTTACTGTACTGTAGGTAATTGTAACACAATGGTTAGTATTTGTGTGTCTAAACATACATAAACATAGAAAAGGTACAGTGAAAATACAGTAAAAAGGTAAAAAATGGTACACCTGTATAGGGCTCTTACCATGAATGGAGCTTGTAAGAGTGGACATTGCTCTGGGTGAGTGAGTGACTGATAAGTGAGTAGTAAGTGAATGGTAAAGGCCTAGGACATTGCTGTACACTACTGTAGACTTCAGAAACACTGTACATTTAGCCTACACTACATTTATAAAAAAATTTTCTTTATTCAATAATAAATTAACCTGAGCTTACTGTAACCTTTTAATTTTATACACTTTAAAGATTTTTTCACTTTTGTCTCTTGTAATAATGCTTAGCTTAAAACACAAACATATTACACAACTGTACAAAAGTATTTTCTTCCTTTAATCCTTATGAGCTATTTGCTATTATTAATTTTTTAAATTTTTTTTACTTTTAAAATTGTTTTGTTAAAAATAACACAAACGTACACATTAGCCTAGGCCTACACAGCATCGGGGCCATCAATATCACGATCTTCCATCTCTACCTCTTGTCTTGCTGGAAGGTCTTCAGGGGCAATAACATAAATGAAGCTGTTATCTCTTATGATAACAATGCCTTCTGCTGGAATATCGCCTGAAGAACCTTCCTGAGGCTATTTTATAGTTAACATTAAAAAAAATAAGTATAAGGAGTACACTCCAAATGAACAATAAAAAGTATAGATAGTAAAGTCATAAACCAGTAGTAGTAATTTATTATCATTATCAAGTATTTTGTACTGTACATAATTGTACGTGTTATACTTTTATACTACTGGCAGCATAGTAGCTTTGTTTATACCAGCATCCCCATAAATATGTGAGCAATGTATTTACCTATGACATCATGATGGCTATGATGACTCCAGTGATAGAAATTTTTCAACAGTACTATAATTTTGTGGGGCCATCATATATGTGTTCCTTTATTGACAGAAACTTTGTTATGCTGCGCATGACTGTACTTGATGTTTGAGATGTACCTTTGTTTCTAAGAATTCCTGCCGTATTCTTTGGCTCAGGGAATGACCAGAAATGTACACATATCCAAAGGCCTTTTCTCAAGGCAAGACAGCCCACAGTGACCTACTATGAAATAAAGGCTGGGCGCAATGGCTCATGCCTGTAATCCCAGCACTTTGGGAGGCTGAGTGGGTCACCTGAGGTCAGGAGTTTGAGACCAGCCTGGCCAACATGGCGAAACCCTGCCTCTACTATGCCACTAATCTTCACAATTTAGAGGTACACAGAGAAACTAGAGTCAGAAGCCAGGAACTGCCTGTTGGCTACAGGGCAGCAATTTGGTTCCTGGAAGTTTGTTGTTTTTCTCAAAATTGGAAGTACATTGAAAAGGATTCTCCCTTGTAGTATGCAGGACATAAGCTATAGAGTTGAGGCAGGCACAAGATAGAGTAATTTATCAGGCTTCCCACAATTTCTCCCAGACTTGAAAACCCTGAAAGGAACATGAGATCTTATCACCCTAATTGAGAGGGTAAGACAGCCATAAAGAAGCTATTTAATTTGTACAAAGAGAATTACC
The DNA here is from genome assembly GCF_000001405.40 of Homo sapiens. NCBI lineage: Eukaryota > Metazoa > Chordata > Mammalia > Primates > Hominidae > Homo > Homo sapiens. The sequence continues at coordinate 111,032,222 of NC_000003.12, read as the reverse complement.
TAAAATTATATTCATGTGAAATAGAAATGGTGGCTCTAACAGCTATTTACTGTCTGAGTCCTCTGGAAATAAGCAGAACTTTAAGACTGAGCTTTCTTGTCAGTATGTGTATTTTGCTAATTGAAAACTTTGGGGGAATAGCTGGGTGGGCACCTTCCACCCAGTTGTAGTCTAGTCTACCTGTAAAACATGAGATCTCATGAGAGCCTCACAGTGCCTGCAGTGATATATAGGATGACTCTAGGAGTCACTTTTTGGACTAGCTACAGTCTAATTTCCATAGGTATGCTGGATCAAATATGTTCAATTTCATTGTTTGCTGTATAGTGAAGGGAAAGAGGAAAAAAACAATTGAAGCCAAATATTACCACCTCTTCCCCCTACATTTATTTCCTTATACCCACACACAGTTTACTGAAGGAATCTTAGAATTTATAAGGGGCTATAGCAATCAGCCCATTTTAATGTGTTTGCTTTTTGCTGATAAAGCACAAGTGTATGCAGAACTGAATCAATTGACCTAAGGTAACATGATATGAAAAGGAGGATGCTGTATAGAACAAGATAAATGGATTCAAGTCCAAGATCTGTCACTACAGAGCTTGACCAAATTAGCCAATCTCTTTGGGCCGCAGCATCCTCGTCTTAAAATAAAGAGTTTGGATTATAGCAATGGCTTTCAAAGAGTTGGGGATGGGTGGAGCTTCCCAGTTGAGACCCACTGAAATTAAATAATTAAGTCAATCCTAGAAGTTCTGACACTCCAATATTCTAAAGCTGTGGGATAACAAAGTCAGGGTCTAAATATGTTTTCATTCACTTCCCTGTGGTTATGCAGCAACTAATTTAAAAAACATAATAAAGAAGAAGGAGGAGGAGGAGAAGGAGAAAAAGAACTACTTTTGAAGTGTCAGTGGAAGCAAACATGAATGACAAGTCAATTTTCCTGTTTTAATATCATGAAAATGTGATTACATTATTATGTGAAGGTCATTGAACCCTGGTTGATTTAATTACTCTGACTGTAATGACCCAAGTGGACTACCATATAATCAGTTTAGCTTTAGAAATAAATATTTAATTCCTAGGCATTTAAACATTAGGATTGGTGACAATATGATGAATGTCAGCAGGCTTGTACATATATTTTCCAGCCATTCATCACAGAATCAGTGAATATATGTTGTGTATGTTGCAATCAATGTTGTAGTACAAAACCTCTGTCAGGTACAAAGACCAATCTCCCTAATAATGCTGATAACCAAGAGGTCACATTTCAGCAGGAGAAAATGCTAAATAACCTGTATCAGTTTCAAGGTAATTCGCTTTTTAAAATTTAAGGTTTTAAAAAATTTCTCATGGATTTCTAAAAATTGATTTTTAAAGCATTCTCACTTTTTTTTCCAGAAGCAAAATTTAATATTCACTCTAAATCTGGGTTGGCACTTAGTCATTTGTGCCTTTTAAAGATGTTTCCAGTGGAGCTTCATTGAGGGAGCAAACTGGTAATATGATGTTGTAGCCTCACAATAGGTTACTGGTGGATTTTTCCACCAATATAATTTAAAACTAATTAATAGACTTCATTTTTTTGAACAGTTTTATGATTCAGAAAAACTAAGCAGAAAGTTCAGAGAGTTCCTATTTTCCCTACCTCCCCAGTTTTTCCCTAGTATAAACATCTTGCATGTGTGATACATTTGTTAGAATTGATGAGCCAATATTGATACAGTATTATTATTAACTAAAATCCATACTTTATGGTTTGCTCTTTGTGTTATTCCATCTATGGTTGTAACAAATATATAATGACTATTCTCTTTTGTTATAACAGATGTAGTAGACTGAATAGATTAAATAGACATTAATTTATAGCAGTAATAAACTGAGGGATATCTTATGTAATTGCCTACTTGCAAAGATTTTCAGCTGCCTGCTACACATTGCAAAATACATGTTTCACTTTACCCACCATGTTTAAAACTCAAATTTATTGTATCCTCCTCTAGGAGAAATTATCTTTCAAACTCTCTAGTTCTGTCAGTGGCACTACTTTGCTTCCAGGCAGAGAAGCACCCGCTTTACATGTTGGGGGCACCATGACACAATTAGTCCTTATGTGGTTATGAGTGTTAAATTCTTTAACTAGTTTTGTCTTCACCTACCTATTGCAATCTCAAAACAATAAAATTTAGTGGTAATTAGATTAGATTAAGACCCAGAAAGTTTAGATGATAATCTTAACCTTGATATTAACCAGATGTGAAACTGCAAATACACTCCTTTACCAGTTTGAGCTTCAGTTTCTTGTAAAATGGGGACATGAGATTAAATGAGCTCTCAGGTTTTTTCCAGCTCTAATGTAGCAATTTCCCTCTCCTGGTGACTTTTGTTTCACTTTCTCTCCATCTTGCAGCCATCAGCCACCTGGTCAGTTTATCCCATGCCTATGTTAACCTAAACAAATATGTATTAGACTCTTTGGAATCAGGCTCTTCCACACTCCAAATTGTCATACATAAACTGGCAGGTTAATTTCCTTGAAACACTACTTTTATCATTGCACACTCATGCTCAAAATATTGAATAGTTTCCTATTACCTGTCATATTAAGCATCAAATATTAATTAGTTTGTTTCTCCTGGGCAGACGTTGCAAGCTTAAATGCTTACACATGCCAAGCAAAGTAAAGTGAAGCCAACTGAGCAGGTCTTGTAGCCAATCAGAGAATATGTCTTCCTGAAAAGGAGGTTGCTAAAACTTGGCTTCGTCAGGTGACTCCCACATGGGAAAGTGGACTCAGAAATACCAGCCAGATCTTTCAATAGTTCAAGAGAAAGAAAATTCAGATTTCTTTGACATATCCCGATTTTTAAATGTTGACAACTAAATCAATTTTTTCTTGGTGATTTCATTTTTTGTTAATTATGTCAAAACTGTATCCCAAAGTCAAAATGATATTACCAGTTACATTCACAAAAATCTTCCTTCCATTTCCTTTTACTGTGGTCTGTTTCATCCCTCTTATAAGTAATTTCTTTAATTAGTTTTTGTTTTATCCTCCATCCTATATTTTTGAAAATAAAAACATTGTATATATTGACAATCATATTTCCTTCAATTTTTTAAACAATAGCACACTATAAACACTGTATGCCCCTTGTTTTTTTCACTTACTACATTCTGGATCCATATTAGTGTATGAATATCTTCCTCATTTTTTTGGGCAACTATACAGGGTCCCATTATGGGGATGTACCATTGTTTATACCTATTTTTTATGAACTTCAAGCTAAGAATCAGTTTTATGTTTCTAAATGACTGAAAACAAAATTAAAATAATAATAGTATTTTTTAAAAATGAAAATTATTTAAAAGGCAAATTTCAGTGTTCACAAATAAAGTTATATTAAAACACAACCATGCTCATTTGTATATTGTCTATTGCTGCTTTTGTGCTGCAGTGAGAAAGATGAGTAGTTGCAACAGAGACCATAGAGACCAGAGTCTAAAATATTTAGTATCTGGCCTTTTACAGAAAAATTTTGCCAAATCTGGTTTATTGAGCCAATCTACTATTAATAGATGTTTTGGTTGTTCCAGTTTACTAGAAATAATAAATAAATAAAGCTTTAAAGTATAGCCTTCGACATAAGTAATTTTGTATTTTTGCCAGTATGTCTTCACAACAGATGCCTAGAATTGGAATTGCTGTGCCAAAGGGCAATGCATAGGTAATTACAGTAGAATTTGGAAAATTCCTCTCTGTAGGAATTGTATGATTTTTGCTTCCCCACCAACAACGTGTGAGAGTACCTGTTTACCCAATCCTAGCCAACATAACATATTGCCAACTAATTTGTTAATTCAAGTGGTTTTAATGCAGTAGAAGATGTCAACAAAATATGTCCAAACACAAGCTGCAGTTAGGGATCCACTCATTTGTAGATCTGCAATGTATTATTGGTTAGGTTGTGCTGTGCAAGAGTGTTCAGTTTTGGGGATGCAAAGGGAGACTGAAAGCCATCCTTCTTTACCTTATTGTGTGCCCTAATATGGGTCTGCTTACATTGCTGGAGGAAAGTGTGCCTTCCTTCACGGGTCCAGCCAGAGAGAGTTGCCAATTTTTAGCCTACTCAGTGGCTGTGGCTTTTTGCAGTTTATTGCTACAGGAAGTGGGAGATTGGGGAAGTGAGGCAGCTTCACAATTTGGGACACATATTATAGGTAGGTCATTCAAATATAGAACTCATTTCACCTACCTATTTATTTTTTCTGCTTTCCCCTAATATCTGTTCTGCAAATCCACACTATCTTCAGCTAGCTTAGTTCTAATCTTCCCAGTGGAGTCTTTTTTAAAATTATTTCCATTCCACCTATCCATCTTTTATTTTTGAATTTCTATTATCTTGTCTGTAACTCACAGCCTATCACTAAACTGATTCATTTTCTTGATTGTTTTATCTCACTACCTTTTTTTGTCCCTTTCTTCTTCCCCAAACCACCCTTCTCTCTACCCCCTATACCCCCTCCCTCTTACATACTAGAGTCTTAGGTATATAGCAGATGTTTAATATACATAGTGGGTGAGTGAAATGCACCAAATTTTCCAGAAGTGCATCCAGAATACACTTGGAAATTCCCACTGGATTAACTTGCTGGAGTGGGGTTTCATATCTGAATGGGATCCAATGGTCTCTTCCATCTGATTAGCGGGAGCTGATGTATTATTAGAAGTAAATGTGAGTTGTGGTCAAGAAGTGAGGTCAGAGCCATCAGGGCAAATGCAGATATCAGGAGATGGATGAGGAATCAGGAGTTGGGGAGTCAGGATGGTTTGATGGTGGAATGTGAAGTGCTACAGGAGATCTGTTTCGAGACAGAGAGGCAACAATGTGAGCTTACTAGAATGGTCTCATTGGATTGTGGCAATGTAGCAAGGAGTCAGGACTGGTCTAGTGGGGGTGGGGGTTCAGTAAACTTTTTCTGTTAACATCTGGATACTAAACGTTTTAGCTTTGCAGGCCGTAAGGTCTGTGTTGTAACAATTTAAGTGTTGTTGTATCTCAACAGCAGCCATAGACAATATATAAATAAGTGAGTATGGCTGAGTTATGATGAAACAATTTATGGACACTAAAATTTAAATTTCCTGAAATTTTCTCACAAAAATTTTTTTCAATCATTTAAAAGTGTAAAAACTCTTTTTATCTCAAAAGCTGTATAAAAGCAGGCAGTGGGCTATAGTTTCAATCCCTGGTCTAAAAGCACAGTTCTGATCTATTAAGAAGCTGAGTACTAATTTCTGTCCATGAAACTATATATTAGAATGTTTGAATTGGGTTCTTTTGAAATAATTTTCTTGTATAAAAATTGATATGCTTGATTATTTTAAAAATAAAATTACTATTCCTATGGTTCTAATAAAATAATAACAATAGTGGCAACTGTTTGCTGAGCACCTATTATGTGTCTGAAATTACACATACATTAGTTAGTCCTCACAAGAACCCTATGAAATTTGAAAGATTTTGTAATTTATTTGATGTCACACAGCTAGTTAGTAACTAATCCAGGATTCAAACACTGAAACAGGGCATCTGCACAAACTTACGAATGAATATAACTTGAAATTGGGTAAAGGCCTATCATTTTAGCAGCATCGCCAGGTGAAACACAGGGCATGAGGTAGATTGAGAATCCAAAATCCAAAAATCCGAAATCTGAAGTGCTTTAAAATCTGAAGCTTTTGAAGCACTCAACATGACACTCAAAAGAAATGCTCATTGGAGCATTTTGGATTTTGGATTTTCAGATTTGGGATGCTCAGTTGAATAATGCAAATATTTCAGAATCTGAAAAAAATCTGAAATCCAAATGCTTCTTGTCTGAAGCATTTTGGATAAGGGATACTTGACCCATTTAGTAAATCACACTGTGTTATCATTCATATTTCACAACTTAAGGCAAATTTAAGTGCTGACTAAAATGCCATTGGTAAGGTGAAATTATGCTAATTTCACCTGTTTTTCCATAAAAAGTTTATTTGTTTTAGGTTTCAGATTATGATGTGATTTCAATAATGTGTTACAGCTTCAGTTCTACAAAACTGGTGTTGGGATAGCTCTAAAATATATATTTGAAGTATTTGAAGCTGTGAAATGTCTGTACAGTAGTATCCATCCATCAGTTCTACAAAACTGGTGTTGGGATAGCTCTAAAATATATATTTGAAGTATTTGAAGCTGTGAAATGTCTGTACAGTAGTATCCATCCATCAGTTCTACAAAAATGGTGTTGGGATAGCTCTAAAATATATATCTGAAGTATTTGAAGCTGTGAAATGTTTGTACAGTAGTTTTCCATCTGTAAAAGAGGGTACAATGAAGCACACATCAACCTAATTCTATCAATGACACAGGAAAGTATTCCACATATAATAACTTTTTTTACACTCTTATGATTTACATACTGCTCACACATATATTATTTTATCACATATGTAAGCCAACACAATCCATGGTTGGAAGGGAAGATACCATTATCTTCCCTTGCTTTAGAATTGGAACTACAGAATTAGAACTATAGAATTGGAACTTCTGCTTTAGAATTAGAACTCTAAGGCTCAGTGAAATGAAGTGAGGGATTGAAGATTAAAGAGATGGTCTATAGATCCACATCTTAAATCAAGGCCAGCTTCACAGGCATGTGACCTGTGCAGTTGAATAGGGCCCTGAACTTAAAAGGCCCTTGTGGGCTGGGCATGGTGGCTCACGCCTGTAATCCCAGCACTTTGAGAGGCGGAGGCAGGCGAATCACGAGGTCAGGAGTTTGAAACTAGCCTGATCAACATAGTGAAACCCCATCTCTACTAAAAATACAAAAAATTAGCTGAGCGTGGTGGCGGGTGCCTGTAATTCCAGCTACTCGGGAGGCTGAGGCAGGAGAATCACTTGAACCTGGAAGGCTCAGGTTGCAGTGAGCCAGGATCACGCCACTGCACTCCAGCCCGGGTGACAGTGTGAGACTCCATCTATCTCCAAAAAAAAAAAAAAAAAAAAAAAAAAAAGAAGCCCTGTGTTTGGTCTAATACTCTACTGCTCTGCTGTCAATATTTTGAAATTCCTCATGACTTATTAACAAGGGGCTCCACATCATCATTTTGCATTGGGCTCTGAAGATTATATAGCCAATCCTACTTTAAACCAAAATCTTGTTACCATGGGATCTATACCATTTTTTAATTCTCCAAGAGTTATTTTTTTCTTTCCCTTAAGCTTGTAGCGTATCAAAACATTCTCTAAGAATTCTTTACAATGTTTGCATATGGGGGTGCCAAATTAGACCACGGCATGTTTAATCCATTACCTTCTAGTGTATTCATTGTTAGTAATCTATTTTTATATATATATGTTTTATTATTTTTTTTTATTTAAAGAGGTCTTTTATTTAAATCATCTTGTATCATGTCTGACACTTTTTTTTTTTTTATACTTTAAGTTTTAGAGTACATGTGCACATTGTGCAGGTTAGTTACATATGTATACATGTGCCATGCTGGTGCGCTGCACCCACTAACTCGTCATCTAGCCTTAGGTATATCTCCCAATGCTATCCCTCCCCCCTCCCCCCACCCCACCACAGTCCCCAGAGTGTGATATTCCCCTTCATGTGTCCAGGTGATCTCATTGTTCAATTCCCACCTATGAGTGAGAATATACGGTGTTTGGTTTTTTGTTCTTGCGATAGTTTACTGAGAATGATGATTTCCAATTTCATCCATGTCCCTACAAAGGATATGAACTCATCATTTTTTATGGCTGCATAGTATTCCATGGTGTATATGTGCCACATTTTCTTAATCCAGTCTATCATTGTTGGACATTTGGGTTGGTTCCAAGTCTTTGCTATTGTGAATAATGCCGCAATAAACATACGTGTGCATGTGTCATTATAGCAGCATGATTTATAGTCCTTTGGGTATATACCCGGTAATGGGATGGCTGGGTCAAATGGTATTTCTAGTTCTAGATCCCTGAGGAATCGCCACACTGACTTCCACAATGGTTGAACTAGTTTACAGTCCCACCAACAGTGTAAAAGTGTTCCTATTTCTCCACATCCTCTCCAGCACCTGTTGTTTCCTGACTTTTTAATGATTGCCATTCTAACTGGTGTGAGATGATATCTCATAGTGGTTTTGATTTGCATTTCTCTGATGACCAGTGATGATGAGCATTTTTTCATGTGTTTTTTGGCTGCATAAATGTCTTCTTTTGAGAAGTGTCTGTTCATGTCCTTCGCCCACTTTTTGATGGGGTTGTTTGTTTTTTTCTTGTAAATTTGTTTGAGTTCATTGTAGATTCTGGATATTAGCCCTTTGTCAGATGAGTAGGTTGTGAAAATTTTCTCCCATTTTGTAGGTTGCCTGTTCACTCTGATGGTAGTTTCTTTTGCTGTGCAGAAGCTCTTTAGTTTAATTAGATCCCATTTGTCAATTTTGGCTTTTGTTGCCATTGCTTTTGGTGTTTTGGACATGAAGTCCTTGCCCATGCCTATGTCCTGAATGGTAATACCTAGGTTTTCTTCTAGGGTTTTTATGGTTTTAGGTCTAACGTTTAAATCTTTAATCCATCTTGAATTGATTTTTGTATAAGGTGTAAGGAAGGGATCCAGTTTCAGCTTTCTACATATGGCTAGCCAGTTTTCCCAGCACCATTTATTAAATAGGGAATCCTTTCCCCATTGCTTGTTTTTCTCAGGTTTGTCAAAGATCAGATAGTTGTAGGTATGCGGCATTATTTCTGAGGGCTCTGTTCTGTTCCATTGATGTATATCTCTGTTTTGGTACCAGTACCATGCTGTTTTGGTTACTGTAGCCTTGTAGTATAGTTTAAAGTCAGGTAGTGTGATGCCTCCAGCTTTGTTCTTTTGGCTTACGATTGACTTGGCGATGCGGGCTCTTTTTTGGTTCCATATGAACTTTAAAGTAGTTTTTTCCAATTCTGTGAAGAAAGTCATTGGTAGCTTGATGGGGATGGCATTGAATCTGTAAATTACCTTGGGCAGTATGGCCATTTTCACGATATTGATTCTTCCTACCCATGAGCATGGAATGTTCTTCCATTTGTTTGTATCCTCTTTCATTTCATTGAGCAGTGGTTTGTAGTTCTCCTTGAAGAGGTCCTTCACGTCCCTTGTAAGTTGGATTCCTAGGTATTTTATTCTCTTTGAAGCAATTGTGAATGGGAGTTCACTCATGATTTGGCTCTCTGTTTGTGTGTTGTTGGTGTATAAGAATGCTTGTGATTTTTGTACATTGATTTTGTATCCTGAGACTTTGCTGAAGTTGCTTATCAGCTGAAGGAGATTTTGGGCTGAGACAATGGGGTTTTCTAGATAAACAATCATGTCATCTGCAAACAGGGACAATTTGACTTCCTCTTTTCCTAATTGAATACCCTTTATTTCCTTCTCCTGCCTGATTGCCCTGGCCAGAACTTCCAACACTATGTTGAATATGAGCGGTGAGAGAGGGCATCCCTGTCGTGTGCCAGTTTTCAGAGGGAATGCTTCCAGTTTTTGCCCATTCAGTATGATATTGGCTGTGGGTTTGTCATAGATAGCTCTTATTATTTTGAAATACGTCCCATCAATACCTAATTTATTGAGAGTTTTTAGCATGAAGGGTTGTTGAATTTTGTCAAAGGCTTTTTCTGCATCTATTGAGATAATCATGTAGTTTTTGTCTTTGGCTCTGTTTATATGCTGGATTACATTTATTGATTTGCGTATATTGAACCAGCATTGCATCCCAGGGATGAAGCCCACTTGATCATGGTGGATAAGCTTTTTGATGTGCTGCTGGATTCGGTTTGCCAGTATTTTATTGAGGATTTTTGCATCAATGTTCATCAAGGATATTGGTCTAAAATTCTCTTTTTTGGTTGTGTCTCTGCCCAGCTTTGGTATCAGAATGATGCTGGCCTCATAAAATGAGTTAGGGAGGATTCCCTCTTTTTCTATTGATTGGAATAGTTTCAGAAGGAATGGTACCAGTTCCTCCTTGTACCTCTGGTAGAATTCGGCTGTGAATCCATCTGGTCCTGGACTCTTTTTGGTTGGTAAGCTATTGATTATTGCCACAATTTCAGAGCCTGTTATTGGTCTATTCAGAGATTCAATTTCTTCCTGGTTTAGTCTTGGGAGAGTGTATGTGTCCAGGAATGTATCCATTTCTTCTAGATTTTCTAGTTTATTTGCATAGAGGTGTTTGTAGTATTCTCTGATGGTAGTTTGTATTTCTGTGGGATCAGTGGTGATATCCCCTTTATCATTTTTTATTGTGTCTATTTGATTCTTCTCTCTTTTTTTCTTTATTAGTCTTGCTAGCGGTCTATCAATTTTGTTGATCCTTTCAAAAAAACAGCTCCTGGATTCCTTGATTTTTTTGAAGGGTTTTTTATGTCTCTATTTCCTTCAGTTCTGCTCTGATTTTAGTTATTTCTTGCCTTCTGCTAGCTTTTGAATGTTTTTGCTCTTGCTTTTCTAGTTCTTTTAATTGTGATGTTAGGGTGTCAATTTTGGATCTTTCCTGCTTTCTCTTGTGGGCATTTAGTGCTATAAATTTCCCTCTACACACTGCTTTGAATGCATCCCAGAGATTCTGGTATGTCGTGTCTTTGTTCTCGTTGGTTTCAAAGAACATCTTTATTTCTGCCTTCATTTCGTTATGTACCCAGTAGTCATTCAGGAGCAGGTTGTTCAGTTTCCATGTAGTTGAGCGGTTTTGAGTGAGATTCTTAATCCTGAGTTCTAGTTTGATTGCACTGTGGTCTGAGAGATAGTTTGTTATAATTTCTGTTCTTTTACATTTGCTGAGGAGAGCTTTACTTCCAAGTATGTGGTCAATTTTGGAATAGGTGTGGTATGGTGCTGAAAAAAATGTATATTCTGTTGATTTGGGGTGGAGAGTTCTGTAGATGTCTATTATGTCCGCTTGGTGCAGAGCTGAGTTCAATTCCTGTGTATCCTTGTTGACTTTCTGTCTCATTGATCTGTCTAATGTTGACAGTGGGGTGTTAAAGTCTCCCATTATTAATGTTTGGGAGTCTAAGTCTCTTTGTAGGTCACTCAGGACTTGCTTTATGAATCTGGGTGCTCCTGTATTGGGTGCATATATATTTAGGATAGTTAGCTCCTCTTGTTGAATTGATCCCTTTACCATTATGTAATGGCCTTCTTTGTCTCTTTTGATCTTTGTTGGTTTAAAGTCTGTTTTATCAGAGACTAGGATTGCAACCCCTGCCTTTTTTAGTTTTCCATTTGCTTGGTAGATCTTCCTCCATCCTTTTATTTTGAGCCTATGTGTGTCTCTGCACGTGAGATGGGTTTCCTGAATACAGCACACTGATGGGTCTTGACTCTTTATCCAACTTGCCAGTCTGTGTCTTTTAATTGGAGCATTTAGTCCATTTACATTTAAAGTTAATATTGTTATGTGTGAATTTGATCCTGTCATTCTGATGTTAGCTGGTGATTTTGCTCGTTAGTTGATGCAGTTTCTTCCTAGTCTCGATGGTCTTTACATTTTGGCATGATTTTGCAGCGGCTGGTACCGGTTGTTCGTTTCCATGTTTAGCGCTTCCTTCAGGAGCTCTTTTAGGGCAGGCCTGGTGGTGACAAAATCTCTCAGCATTTGCTTGTCTGTAAAGTATTTTATTTCTCCTTCACTTATGAAGCTTAGTTTGGCTGGATATGAAATTCTGGGTTGAAAATTCTTTTCTTTAAGAATGTTGAATATTGGCCCCCACTCTCTTCTGGCTTGTAGGGTTTCTGCCGAGAGATCCGCTGTTAGTCTGATGGGCTTCCCTTTGAGGGTAACCCGACCTTTCTTTCTGGCTGCCCTTAACATTTTTTCCTTCATTTCAACTTTGGTGAATCTGACAATTATGTGTCTTGGAGTTGCTCTTCTCGAGGAATATCTTTGTGGCGTTCTCTGTATTTCCTGAATCTGAATGTTGGCCTGCCTTGCTAGATTGGGGAAGTTCTCCTGGATAATATCCTGCAGAGTGTTTTCCAACTTGGTTCCATTCTCCGCATCACTTTCAGGTACACCAATCAGACGTAGCTTTGGTCTTTTCACATAGTCCCATATTTCTTGGAGGCTTTGCTCATTTCTTTTTATTCTTTTTTCTCTAAACTTCCCTTCTCGCTTCATTTCATTCATTTCATCTTCCATTGCTGATACCCTTTCTTCCAGTTGATCGCATCGGCTCCTGAGGCTTCTGCATTCTTCACGTAGTTCTCGAGCCTTGGTTTTCAGCTCCATGAGCTCCTTTAAGCACTTCTCTGTATTGGTTATTCTAGTTATACATTCTTCTAAATTTTTTTCAAAGTTTTCAACTTCTTTGCCTTTGGTTTGAATGTCCTCCCGTAGCTCAGAGTAATTTGATCGTCTGAAGCCTTCTTCTCTCAGCTCGTCAAAGTCATTCTCCATCCAGCTTTGTTCCGTTGCTGGTGAGGAACTGCATTCCTTTGGAGGAGGAGAGGTGCTCTGCATTTTAGAGTTTCCAGTTTTTCTGTTCTGTTTTTTCCCCATCTTTGTGGTTTTATCTACTTTTGGTCTTTGATGATGGTGATGTACAGATGGGTTTTTGGTGTGGATGTCCTTTCTGTTTGTTAGTTTTCCTTCTAACAGACAGGACCCTCAGCTGCATGTCTGTTGGAATACCCTGCCATGTGAGGTGTCAGTGTGCCCCTGCTGGGGGGTGCCTCTGAGTTAGGCTGCTCGGGGGTCAGGGGTCAGGGACCCACTTGAGGAGGCGGTCTGCCCATTCTCAGATCTCCAGCTGCGTACTGGGAGAACCACTGCTCTCTTCAAAGCTGTCAGACAGGGACATTTAAGTCTGCAGAGGTTCCTGCTGTCTTTTTGTTTGTCTGTGCCCTGCCCCCAGAGGTGGAGCCTACAGAGGCAGGCAGGCCTCCTTGAGCTGTGGTGGGCTCCACCCAGTTGGAGCTTCCTGGCTGCTTCGTTTACCTAAGCAAGCCTGGGCAATGGCGGGCGCCCGTCCCCCAGCCTCGCTGCCGCCTTGCAGTTTGATCTCAGACTGCTGTGCTAGCAATCAGCGAGACTCCGTGGGCGTAGGACCCTCCGAGCCAGGTGTGGGATATAGTCCCGTGGTGCGCCGTTTTTTAAGCCAGTCTGAAAAGCGCAATATTCGGGTGGGAGTGACTCGATTTTCCAGGTGCGTCCGTCACCCCTTTCTTTGACTCGGAAAGGGAACTCCCTGACCCCTTGCGCTTCCCAGGTGAGGCAATGCCTCGCCCTGCTTCGGCTCGCGCACGGTGCGCGCACCCACTGGCCTGCGCCCACTGTCTGGCACTCCCTAGTGAGATGAACCCGGTACCTCAGATGGAAATGCAGAAATCACCCGTCTTCTGCGTCGCTCACGCTGGGAGCTGTAGACCGGAGCTGTTCCTATTCGGCCATCTTGGCTCCTCCCCTATATGTTTTATTATACTTTAAGTTCTAGGGTACATGTGTACAACGTGCAGGTTTGTTACATGTGTATACATGTGCCATGTTGGTGTGCTGTACCCATTAACTCGTCATTTACATTAGGTGTATCTCCTAATGCTATCCCTCCCCCGTCCCCCCACCCCACAACAGGCCCCGGTGTGTGATGTTCCCTTTCCTGTGTCCAAGTGTTCTCCTTGTTCAATTCCCACCTATGAGTGAGAACATGCGGTGTTTGGTATTTTGTCCTTGCGATAGTTTGTTGAGAATGATGGTTTCCAGCTTCATCCACGTTCTTTGTGTTGAGAATGATGGTTTCCAGCTTCATCCACGTTCCTACAAAGAACGTGAACTCATCATTTTTTATGGCTGCGTAGTATTCCATGGTGTATATGTGCCACATTTTCTTTATCCAGTCTATCACTGTTGGACATTTGGGTTGGTTCCAAGTCTGCTATTGTGATTAGCGCTGCAATAAACATACGTGTGCATGTGTCTTTATAGCAGCATGATTTATATTCCTTCGGGTATATACCCAGTAATGGGATGGCTGGGTCAAATGGTATTTCTAGTTCTAAATCCCTGAGGAATCGCCACACTGACTTCCACAATGGTTGAACTAGTTTACAGTCCCACCAACAGTGTAAAAGTGTTCCTATTTCTCCATATCCTCTCCAGCACCTGTTGTTTCCTGACTTTTTAATGATCACCATTCTAACTGGTGTGAGATGGTACCTCATTATGGTTCTGATTTGCATTTCTCTGATGGCCAGTGATGATGAGCATTTTTTTATGTGTCTGTTGGCTGCATAAATGTCTTCTTTTGAGAAGCGTCTGTTCATATCCTTCACCCACTTTTTGATGGGGTTGTTTTTTTCTTGTAAATTTGTTTGAGTTCATTGTAGATTCTGGATATTAGCCCTTTGCCAGATGAGTAGATTGCAAAAATTTTCTCTCGTTCTGTAGGTTGCCTGTTCACTCTGATGGTGGTTTCTTCTGCTGTGCAGAAGCTCTATAGTTTAATTAGATCCCATTTGTCAATTTTGGCTTTTGTTGCCATTGCCTTTGGTGTTTTAGACATGAAGTCCTTGCCCATGCCTATGTTCTGAATGGTATTGCCTAGGTTTTCTTCTAGGGTTTTTAGGGTTGTAGGTCTAACATTTAAGTCTTTAATCCATCTTGAATTAATTTTTGTATAAGGTGTAAGGAAGGGATCCAGTTTCAGCTTTCTACATATGGCAAGCCAGTTTTCCCAGCACCATTTGTTAAATGGTAATCTATTGTTTTTAAAATTCAGACGGGAAAATGATTTTCTACCTGGAATTCTATACTTATACAAAGTATCAAGTGTGAGGGTGGAGAAAAGAAAAACATCTTCAGTCAGCAAAGAATCAGAATATTTGCCTCCAGCAATACAGGTAGAAAATCAGGAGATAGGAAGACATGAAATCTAGGAAATTGTTGCTGCAAGCCAGAAGAGTAGTCAAGGATAGTCACAGGATACCTATGCAGCAGGTTTGGAGAGCAGCAGCCCCAAATGAAGCAGCAAGTTGAGATAGAAACTTTCTGTGATTAGGGGTGGGGAGAGACAGGACTCATTTTATAAATACATGATATGATGAGACTTCAGAAAAAAAAAAGTAAGAATGACTTTAAGAAATAATATATAAGAGTAAAGTGAAATAATTAGGAATTCCAGAAACAAACCGAAAAACTGTGTAAGAAATAACTATAGTAAAACTGCTTGGGTGAGGGTCCAACTACTTGACTGCAGTGATATTTATGTATCTTCGAAATATAAACACTGTTAGGTTACTTAACTAAAAATTATATAAATATATTGGAAGGAATTGGAGAGAGGTTGTGGCTGTGTTGTAACAGCTAAATCCTCACATATTAGAGAAAGACATAAATAGTGTCTAACATTGGTAAATCAAGAATAGCAATATAGGCTGCACGTGATGGCTCACGCCTGTAACCCCAGCACTTGAGAGGATGTGTTGGGAGGAAGGTTTGAGCCTAGGCTTTGGAGATCAGCCTAGACAACACAGTGGGACTTGATCTCTGCAAAAAATAAAAAAATTAGCCAGGCTTGGTGGCTTGGCTGTGTTCTCAGTTGCTTGGGAGGCTGAGGTGTGAGAATCGCTTGAGCCTGGGAGGTTGAGGCTGTAGGGAGCTGTGGTGGTGTCACTGCATTCCAGCCTGAATAACAGAGCAAGACACTGTCACTAAAAAAAGAATAGCAATATAAACATATTATTTATAAATGCAGCAGCTTGTATTAAAAAGAGATTATCTTTAGGGAATGGAATCTGGTGTTGGAGAGATATGGAGAAAAATGGTTGATATATTCATTATAACTTTTTCAGTACTATTTGATTTTTATAAGCATACATATTGCATCGCTTTTATATAAACATGATTTTAAAAATTCTTTTCAAATGATTCTCAGAGTTCAAAAGTTTTCAAACCTCTTTTCAGTTATCAAAATGATGAGAATATACAGACTGGCTGTGCTGTAATCTGTTCAGTTTACTTTGATTGATATAGTATAAGCCCCTATTTCTTAAACTAGCCTATGTGGTTTTAGTCTAGGTGTTCTAATTCTTACTTTACTGATGAAGGTGTCTTAAAACTTAATTAGCTAATGCCTATAAAGGGATTTCAGGTACTTGGATAAATGGCTTAGTCAATGTTGAAGCTATTTTTTCTAATGAGAAATTTTAAGGTATATTTAGCTATGACTTTTATTTGGCATCAAATGACAAGAAAATATAGAAAACTGAACATTAGAACAACCACTGTGACATTCTATTACAGTCTGTTGTAGTTTTTAAAACTTCAGATATTTTTTAAATCAAAAGAAATGTATTTTATACTTCTTAGAGGTCACCAAAATGAAGGAGGAATAAAATATAGAGGGTAAAGTTAAATCAAATTTTAAAAGTAACAAAAATCATCCTCATATCATTACCTGGTATCAGATGATATTAAAGAAAGAGAAAAAGGTTGTGATATAAAAATTTAAATCATATTTATTGAGCAACTACTGTAAGTCAGACCTTGTTGATAGCTTATTTCAAATAGAGCTGACTTTTGAACAATATGGGTTTGAGCTGTGTGGACATGCTTGTATGTGTTCTTTTTGTCTAACCAAATGCAGACTGAAAATACAGTATTCTCAGATGCAACCCAAGTATATGGAGGACTGACTTTTCATATACACGGGTTGTAGGGAGTCAACTGTAGGATTTAAGTATGCATGGATTTGGTTATATGGGGATTACTCTGGAACTAACAATCCTCCACATGGATGACTGTACATAATCTCTTCCAACCCATGTCATTTTCATTGTGCAGATAAGGAAATGAACTTCAGAAATCTTAAGTGACTTGTTCAAAATTACCTAGTTAATGTAAATTTATAGCTTAGGCCTGTACAATCTAACTCAAAGTTGTACGCAATTCAACATGCTGTGAGGTTTTCTGATAAAGCATGTGAAGCAAAAATGAAGATAATGAGGGAGATAATACTAACAGGGTACAGTGGCAGTTGTTGTGTATTGCTACCAAATTTGAAAGGCTTTGAGTTCACAAGTTGGGCCTCAAACTTTCCGACAAACTTGTGTTTAGTTTGGAAAAGTAGAGAATGAGGATAAAAAATAATTTGGGGAGATTTAGATATAGGCTGTTGTTGAGTAACAGGGAAAAGAACTTAAATTTCTAGATTGGTGGTTCTCAAAGTGGGGTCCCTGGACTAGCAGCATCGACATTTCCTGAAAGCTTATTAGAAATGCAAATTCTTGGGCCCCAATCTAGATCCAGACATGTTTCTCAGACCTTAGTTACATAGGAATTCCATGGGCAGCTAGTTACAAAAATTCCTGGGTCCCACCTTCAGAGATTCTGATTCAGTTGGTGTGAGGTGGGGACTAGAAATTTGTACCTCTAACAAACTTTCAGGTGACGTTGGTGCTGCCATTCTGCAGACCATGTTTTTACTTGAATTGTAGATCACCATATTCCATAATAGGTTATCAACTAATTATTGTTCAAAGAGTGAATATATGAATGTGTGAACTTTGCATCAGGACAAGGAATTGGTACAGTGTAGTGGGATAGGTAGAAAGGAGGGTAAGAATGGAAGAACCAGGTAGATAGGCAGAACAGACAGATCAGTCAAAAGGCCTAGTAGTTAGGTTTGTACCTAGAGTGGTTGATGTTTACATCAAGTACTTATGTTAGGAGATGATCTAGAATATTTCTTAGCAGCCCTAGTTTGGTTTTATTAATCCTCCATTTATTAGGTCTGAAACATGGCAAGAAATGGGCTCTTTTTATTAGTGATTGCAGTTACTTTTAACCAAAAGACCATGAATCATTGGAGGGAAGAAGCAGCAAGTAGCAATTAATATTTTAAGTTTTAGCATCATATTATTATTTTTTCTTCCAAGGCAACTCCCCAAATGGGATGTCTAACCAAGACCCTGTCAACATCCTCTAATCTTTCCCTTTCACATCAGGAGTAAGAAGTAGTGCTTGAGCATATATAATTTTTTTAAAAATCAACTTCCTTAGTGTTAAATATTCTAAAATAAAGATTTAAAACTTAAAAAAATTAAGTATAAAACATATTTTCATCTCAAAAAAAAACCCACACCCCCTATACCTTTATATCATTTCCGACTTCTTACCCAAATCTGGAAAGAAATGTTGAAGTTGCATTTACAGATTCAATGGAACATACTGTATTTGTTTTCAAGAACAAAGGTTCAGAAATATATTGTGTAGGTTGTTTGTAATTTGAGGGTCATATTTAACAAAAACAAACACCTCCATACAGAATTCAGAAATCCATAGAAAATTTTATTATGTTTAGTGGTACTAGGTATAGGGCAACTTTTTCATTTCTTGTAGAGAGAGACCAGAATATTCACTGAATTATAGAGTGGGGAGGAACCTTGGGAGACTCAAACCCTGTTCATTCAGACCAGGGGGTAAAATAAAGGGAAAAAATGAAGTTTGATTTTGTGTTCCACATACTAAAAGATAAACAAAAATACAAACTCTAAGCCTTTGAATTAGAAGACTGAGGAGGAAAGGACCCACTATACTGGAGAAATTTATTTTTCAAGTTGTCAAGGGTATTAGAAATGTCTCTCAAATTTTGGCTTATGAATCTATATTATATTGAGTTTCTCCAGAAACAGACCCTGAGAAAAGGATTCAAGTCCAAGTGGTTTACTTGAGACCTGATTTCAGGAAAAACCAGTAGAGAAGTGAGGAAGAGAGATAGAGAAGGGAAGGCAGCCAATAGAGTGCATCATCATGCAAGTTACCACTGAGGATAGAAGGAGCTTCATCCTGCCGGAGAACACTGGAGCCAATGTAGAACATGTGCCTCAAAAATTCTCCCACTAACTCCAACAACCAGTCACTAGTTAAGGGTAGGGTGAGGAGGGTGGGAATTGATTCTCTGGCACTACTGGTCTGCCATGTGTATGGGCAGAGAGAGTTCCACTCAGGGTCAACTACAGGATTTTTGTGGCTCAGAGCAAAATCAAAATGAGAATGTGAGATCCCTTGTGGAAAAAGGCTTTTGCTATTTCTCTGCCTCTCTCTCTCGCTGTCTCTCTCTCTCCTCTCTCTCTCTCTCACACACACACACAAATACACACACACTCACACAGTGTGTGTTTACTCTTTAATGTCGTGCTCCCTCTGGCATGTAGATACATGCAGGGAAAGTGCAGATCCTTATAGTTGGCTGGTCCCTACCCCATTTTGTCCCAAAATTGGGCACATAGGGTATGCTGCACACATGTGTCTAACCCTGACTCTCATCATAACTTGTGTCCAGGCGCCCTCTATGGTAGGAGGGTAGCAGAAGTCACTGGGTCTGGGTAGGGAATAGGCAGGGAAGCAGCAGGAGCAGGGAGTGTGCAGAAGTGGTGGCTCCAAGCCCCCTGTGCAGTTCTATTGTCCTATTGAACTTCTCTTACAGAACGAAGGTTCAAAGATAAACTGTAAGAATTTCAATACAGCAAATGCAGAGAATCAAACCTCAAGCATGTCGTACCCACTTTTGAGTACAGGGCCCTGGGTGGCTGCACTGGTCATACACCCATGAAGTTAGCTCTGGTTCTGCCAGCTAGACGAGCCCTTTAGCAAAGAGATGAAGATGTTGGTAGTTGGAGACTAGCGTGGACTACAATGGTTATAGTCCAAGGGAGTATGGATGGGACACAAACAGTACATGCTAGAGAGTCAAAGATTTAAACTGTAAACACCCATTCCTGTAATTAATTTTACTTTTCAAATGAGATCACAGGAAGTTCTTTAATTGACCCTGAATAAAGTTACTCCAACACTTCTGGATGATCTTTCCTTTTGGCTCATTCCCATACATTAGGGATTCAAGTCATATATCTTGCATTAGCAGCTGTGGAAACAAGTATGGTTTTCCCAAATAGGCTCAATCATGTATTAAATATATTTGTTGAGCTCCTAATATGTACCAGACACTGTGCTATGTACTATAGATACAGTGATGAACAAGACCAAAAAGCTCCCTACTATAGTAGTAATTATATTCCAAGTTTCACTCAAGGAGTCTGCTACTTGTATCTCGCTGAAATTCTCCCCTCAGCTAGAAAGTAGTGCTAGTACTTGGAAAGAAAGAGAAGAAATATTGTTATTTCATGTCAATTGCAGCCTTTAAGGGTTATTCATGAAAATGCAATAGCTATATTCTTGCCTACCTTTTAAATCCATTTAGAATCCTTGCTAAGCTACAAATTTGGTGGAAAGTCCCTTGGGTTAATCATAGATTTTGTAAAAATAGTTCTTTCTATTTCTTTTCACAATGACAAGCTCACCGGCATATCATCCAGGATAAACATATAAGCAGTCGTGTTTAGTATACTGTGGTTCCTAATTGTCCTAAGGTTGCTCTAAAGAATAATGCTTTGTAATAAGTCATCTGTCCTCCTGTCCTAACTCATGGGGTTCAGTTTCTCTTATCAGAGTGAATGAAAATGGAAACAGTCTTTCCTTTGGTACTTCACCAGTTATGATCTTAAAACTGCTCCTGAATATTTGGATCTTAACTTCTCTTCAGTGCTCCTTTACAACATGAAAGTAGCACTATATTGATGGCTTCCCCCCTTTTCTCTCTTTTTTACTTCATCTTTGGTGTGAAGAAGATTTTAACAAATAACCACATCAACAAGCCTTTCAGAACTGTGAAAGAAAAATCACATCATGAAACAAGATAATTCTCACTTTGTTCTTGGAAGAAAATGACCATTGTTTCTTATCTCTGAGATAGTTCTTGGGATGATGGCTGAAATGGCAAGAATAATTGAGAAAAATACCTATGTGCATCACAAAAGCCAAAATGCATCTTTTCTATTATACAAATAATCATCAGCTCTTACTGACAGTTGATATATTCTATTCAGAGAAGAGGCATTTATCATATCTAGGAATCTAGATATGATATGAAAATCCTCTTATCTCTCCTTCACCATATTTGTAGTGATTTAAAATACCATTTGCAGCATGCTCTATGCATACTGTACACACAGGGATGGAAAGTATCTTAGAACATACTTATTTCAAATGATGCTGTTGGTAGACTACTTTATACATCTGATTCTAAAAGATCACAAATAGCTTGCATAAGAAATACTAAAATAAGGGAAATCACATAGAAGTCAATTTGGTTTTCAGCAGTGTTGAAATATATATTGATGGTGTATGTATATTTTACTGATAAAACCATTTGGAAAGAAAGGTTTTAGACATTTTAAATGCCATTTTGTGTCACTTTAGAACTTGCATTTTCTATATCATAATATAGAAGAATAATTCCAAAACATTCCACTAGCAAAAAAATGACAATATGGGAGGCAATTTTCAATTTTTCATTTATAAAATCTCTAACACCACAGAAACGTATAAGAAATTCTAGATGAACCACACCCTATTTCAGTGAAATAAATATTAAATTGACTTCAACATCTGTTTGTATGGCTCTTTTCCATACTTAGTGCAAAACCTCCAGCTCCAGCCTCCTGCAAACTTGGCCACAGTTATTTCTAAAGGTTCCCCTGGGGAGGTTTTATTACTATTCAAAGTTTTATCAGCTATTATTATATGATTTTCCATTTTCTTTATCTGCATTTTCCTTATCTCTAACTCTGACCTGTAGCTGACGGTGTCTGATCCTGAGGGATTTGTTGTCTACGAGGCTACAGGAAGGTGCCCCAAAACAGCTGTCTCTGTTTCCCACAAATGTTCTGTTGGTATCTTGCTCTGATAAGCTGCTATGATAGGAAGGACTCTTATTCTTTTGGGCATTGTTCTCTCCTGCCAGTTATTTCCTTCTCCTACTAAGTTCTTAATCAAGTGACTTGATAGAGTCCTCCAAGAAGTCAAAATTCCCGCTACTAATTAAAAACTTGTCTTGCTCTTGTTATAAGCATATTCTCTGTTAAGCTTTCATACTTCCAGTGCTTAAGTTTCAAATCCTGAATCAACTTTGATTCTTTCATTTCCTTCACTCCCTACATCTAATCCATAAGTAAGCCCACTTGAATCTACCTTTAAATCTATGCACAATCTGACCAGTTTTCACCCCATCTACCTTTATCACCTTAATCCAAGTCTCCATCACCACTTCTTGCTTGGGCTATTATAATAGTTTCCTAACTGATGTCCTTGTTTCCAACTTTGCAACTAATACAGCAGCCAGAATGATCATTTAAAAACCTAGTTATAATTCTGCTCTAACCACTTCGATGGTTTCTGTCTTAGAATGAAATACAAAAGATTTATCTTGTTTTGCACAGCCCTTAGTAATCTAGCTCCTGGCTTCCTAGCACCTCTTCTTTACCTCCCCCTCACTCTTATCTCTCCTTCACCATATTTGTAGTGATTTAAAATACCACTTGCAGCATGCACTATGCATACTGTACACATAGGGATGAAATGTATCTTGGAACACACTTATTTCAAATGATGCTGTTGGTAGACTACTTTATACATCTGATAAAGTAGATGTAACTCACCTTAAACCCCCAACCCCTGTGTTCATAAGCCCTCTTACTTTATTTTCTGCTCTATGCAAGTATCACCTTCTCAGAGACGGCTTTCCTAAACTAACCACCTTACATTAAGAAAACTACCTTTCCCTGGCCGGGTGCGATGGCTCATGCCTGTAATCCTAGCACTTTGGGAGGCCAAGGCAGGTGGATTGCCTGAGCACAGGAGTTCGAGACCTGCCTGGGCAACATGGTGAAACCCCGTCTCTACTAAAATCCAAAAAAAAAAAAAAAATAAAGAAAGAAAGAAAGAAAAAAAAATTAGCTGGGCATGGCAGCATGTGCCTGTAGTCACAGCTACTCAGGAGGCTGAGGCAGGAGAATTGCTTGAACCCAGGAGGCAGAGGTTGCAGTGAGCGGAGATCGTGCCACTGCACTCCGGCCTGGGTGACAGAGTGAGATTCCATCTCTAAAAAAAAAGAAAACTACCTTTCCCTGTCCACTATATCCCACTTACTTTCTAGCCCCTTAATTGACTTTTTTTTGTCACAGTACTTTTTGCCGTCTGATACATTAAATGTTTCTTTGATATATTTGTTTATGATCTGTCAGTCCAATTAGAATGTCTATTCTGTGAAAGTAGCAATGTGATTTGTTTTGCTCATTACTGTAACCCTAGAACTTGGCAAATAGTAGGTGCTTAATATATTTGTTGACTGAAGGAATGGGTGTTTCACCCCTCCTATGTGAAGGGCGGCTACTGGGACAAAATTTGGTATTTCTGGATCTTTGGTTAAATATTATAATAACAGCACTGTATCCTAATTTCTTAGTTCATTTTGTGTTGCTGTAAAGAATTACCAGAGACTGGGTAATTTATTTTTTTAAAAAAAGGTTTATTTAATTCATGATTCTGATAGCTGAAAAGTTAACGATTGGGCATCTGTATCTGGTGAGGGCCTCAGGCTGCTTCTAGTCATGGCAGAAGGTGAAGGAAGGCTGGCTTGTGCAGAAATCACATGGCAAGAGTGGAGGAAAAAGAAAGCGGGGAGGTGCCAAGCTCTTTTGAACAACCAGCACTCATGGGAACTAATGGAGTGAGAATTCACTCTCCCTCAGTGGAGCAAGGGCTGGCCCTCGTGACCCAAACACCTCCCATTAGACCCCACCTCCAACACTGGGAATCAAATTTCTACATGAGGTTCAGAGGGGACAAACATCCAAACCATAGCACCCACTATTACTGCAAGCTATTATAGCCAACAATGATGTTGATTGAGAAATATGAATGAGAAATGTGATTGAAACATATATTTATATATATTTGTTTATACATTTAGATATATAATATTTTATATAACATATATAAATATATTATAATATATTTCTATATAAATATATTATTATATTATATTTTTATATATAATAATATATTTATATATACATATATTATTATATATTTATATATACATATATTATATGTATACATACATATATTATTTATATATGCATATATTATAATATATGTATATATACATATATTATATATACATATATTATTACATATGTATATATACATATATTATATATACATATATTATTACATATGTATATATACATATATTATTACATCTGTATATATATATTATTACATATGTATATATACATATATTATTACATATATATTATTACATATGTATATATACATATATTATTACATATGTATATATATTATTACATATGTATATATACATATATTATTACATATGTATATATGTTATTACATATGTATATATACATATATTATTACATATGTATATATACATATATTATTACATATGTATATATATATTATTACATATGTATATATACATATATTATTATATATTTATATATATAATGTAATGCTTAAAGTCTGCTGAATTGCAATTATTTTGGTTAATCTTTATCCTAGGCTGAATGATAAATCCATCAAGAATATGTTTTCTGGTGTTTTGATAAAAAATTCATTTTTATCAGTGGCCTAGATTTTCCCCTTTTTCCAATAAAAGTCATTAGATTAGAATGGTTTAAAGCTGTGGTTCTTAAACTGTAATGCATCTGAGTCACGTGGAAGTCTTGTTAAAATTGCTGGGCCCCGCTCTCAGAATTTTTGATTCAGTAGGTTTGGCATGGAGACTAAACATTTGTATTGCCAATAAGTTTCTAAGTGGTCCTTGTGCTGCTGGTCTGGGAATTGTGTTTTGAGCACCATAAACCACTAGTTTAAATTAGGCAAGTAGTTACCCCACAGATAAATTTTTTTTGAATTTATGTTCTGTTCCTTTATTGAAATATATTATTGATCTCCTAAGGAAAAATGTTTAAAATACCTTGTTCAGACATGGTTTTTAAAATGCACTGAGCTCTCTGCTGTGTCTTTCCAAATATTACCTGGGGCTAGCCTACAATGCATGTTCTCAAGATTGGAGGCCTATGCAAAGTGTAAAGTTCTAGCCATAGAAGAACATCTATATATTTAAAGTTATTGGCCCATGACTTCTTTCTCTTAATAACAAACTAATTAAGAGAAGTATAGATAATGTTAAACTATAATAAAAATCTTCTAGTTTTGATTATATTCACTGATTGTCAGGATCACAGTTTATTGACACTGCACCAATTTCTGGAACTCTTTAATAGTGCTCTGAACCTTCCTTACTTTGAAAGAGTCCTGGCCGGGCGCTGTGGCTCACGCCTGTAATCCCAGCACTTTGGGAGGCCGAGGCGGGTGGATCACCTGAGGTCAGGAGTTCTAGACCAGCCTGGCCAACATGGTAAAACCCTGTCTCTACTAAAAATACAAAAATTAGCCGGGCCTGGTGGCAGGCACCTGTAATCCCAGCTACTCGGGGGGCTGAGGCAGGAGAATCGCTTGAATCTGGGAGGCAGAGGTTTCAGTGACCTGAGATGGCGCCATTGCACTCCAGCCTGGGGCACAAGAGGGAGACTTCATCTCAAAAAAAAAAAAAAAAAAAAAAAGAATGAAAGAGTCCTTCATCTAGTCTGTACTTTTTCATATCTCCCTTTCCTGAAAAAAAGTTTGTATGATTAGATGTGTGATGCCAAGCTATTAAGATATGATTCACAATAGATTCCTATTTGTAAATAAATTCCTCATACCTCAACTATCTTTTGGTTTAATTAAATATTCAGGTTGAAGGTTATGGAAGCTACAATTGAAATAAAGATGAGAAACAAAGAGTAAAAAATTCACTTCCAGGTCATGACAATAAAAAGAAATTATTCTCTCAACAGGTTTTTCTTTTATTTGGCCAAATTGCATTTGTCTCTTTGTACATTGTTATTTTAAGTTTTATGTTAGAAACTGGTTTCTATTGCTCATTTTTTCATATATTATCTTCATGAATATACCTAATACATTGACTTCTTTTCTCAGCCTGTCTCTTTCCAGCAAAACACCAGAATTTCTCTTGTCTAGAGGAGACTGGCAGCATCTCCTTGGACATATTGCCCACAAGGTTATATGGAATCCATAACGTGTCATCTTCCTTTACAGCCCCAGAGTGACTTTTGTTATTTTCACCTTTCCTCATGGCATAGGTATTTTATGTTAAGCAGCCTTCTCAGGCTTCTGAGTTTGCAGAGATGTTTCTGATTTATAAAGCAACGCATACCCTTTTAAGTGTATCTTTTCTAAATAATATAAATACAAATTTCCATGGATAAAATAGTCTGATGAAAATTCAAATATAATATTACTAAAATTATCATATATAAATATTATAAATAAATTTGACACTGAACTTTGGAGCATATGGAGTGGACAGCATATTCCCAAAAGTCAAACTTTTGCACACTATTAGAGCAACATAGCACCCTTTTAGAAGAGATGCTATTATTTCCTTCCTGCCCCCACCTTCCATATCTTAGAGAACTTGTCCATTTCACATTCTCAGAGATCACTCTCCATCAATGTCTGTGAACTGGAAAAAAATGGACATATGAATCTAACACTCCGGTAAAGCTGACTGACATTAGGGGACAATCTGGGATTTAAAATGGGATTTAGACATTTTATTTTAGTAAAATAAGGATTCATGTTTTATGGCTTCTCCCACTCTGTAATGTTTACAAAGTAAAACTGCTAGTTAAGATATGAAGTTGTAAATTTCTTATTTGGAATTAAAATAAAGTAAGAAAAAAATTGTGGGCACTAAACTAACAGTCACTCCTTCAATAAATACAAATTAAAAGCAGGATGAATGGCCCTTATATAAAGTACTGCACTGAAAATTACAAACAAAAGATATTTTAGGAAATGTCTTACCTCATTATTTGAATGAGATATTGTTGGTAAAATTCTAAATAGCTTTTTGGATAAATTATCATTCCTTTCCATAAGTGCATTTGAGTAGAAACATAAACTATTTTTGATAATATTTATTTTTACAACATGTTTGTATATTTTGCATTAAAAAAGCTTCATAAAGCTCATATATATCTCATTCAATACAAGCCTGAAGTCTTTGAAGTGAAGGTTGACACATTCACAGAAAAAGCTACAAATCAGTCTTACCACTGTAAAGTAATGAAATGGTTATAGATTTCTGCTCACACAACTTCAGGAATTGTCTAGTGAAACACTCTGTAATTTGTGAAAAAAAGAAAGTTTAGGGAGTTGGCTATAAAAGCTAGTTTTAGAAAATAATGTAGATTCAGAAATGAAGGACACCATCTCTTATGCACAGAAAAATGAGGAAAATGGTTTACACATAGAAAAAGAGAAGAGGAAAGCAAATAATCATAGAGGAGCAGAAAGAAGAGAGCATTTGGGATGGGGGGCTCCCGCCAGCTTTCTTTCCAGTTCCTGGCCATTCTTTTCCTTTTCTTTTTTTTTTTAAGTCTTTTTTTTTTTAAATTATACTTTAAGTTCTAAGATACATGTGCAGTATGTGCAGGTTGGTTAATAGGTATACATGTGGCATGCTGGTTTGCTCCACCCATCGACCCGTCATCTACATTAGGTATTTCTCCTAATGCTATCCCTGCCCTTGCCCCTCACCCGCTGACAACCCCAGTGTGTGATGTTCCCCTCCCAGGGTCCATGTGTTCTCATTGTTCAACTCCCACTTATGAGTGAGAACATGTGGTGTTTGGTTTTCTGTTCCTGTGTTAGTTTGCTGAGAATGATGGTTTCCAGCATCATCCATGTCCCTGCCAAGGACATGAACTCATTCTTTTTTATGGCTGCATAGTATTCCATGGTATATATGTGCTACATTTTCTTTATCCAGTCTATCATTGATGGGCATTTGGGTTGGTTCCAAGTCTTTGCTATTGTGAATAGTGCTGCAGTAAGCATATGTGTGCATGTGTCTTTATAGAAAAATAATGTATAACCCTTTGGGAATATACCCAGTAATGGTATTGCTGGGTAAAATTGTATTTTTGGTTCTAGATCCTTGAGGAATCGCCACACTGTCTTCTACAATGGTTGAACTAATTTACACTCCCACCAAGAGTGTAAAAACGTTCCTATTTCTCCACATCCTCTCCAGCATCTGTTGTTTTCTGACTTTTTAATGATCGCCATTCTAACAGACGTGAGATGGTATCTCATTGTGGTTTTGACTTGCATTTCTCTAATGACTAGTGATAATGAGCTTCTTTCCATATGTTTATTAGCTGCATAAATGTCTTCTTTTAAGAAGTTTCTGTTCATATCCTTTGCCCACTTTTTGATGGGGTTGTTTTTTTCTTCTAAATTTGCTTAAGCTCCTTATAGATTCTGGATATTAGCCCTTTGTCAGATGGATAGATTGCAAAAATTTTCTCACATTCTGTAGGTTGCTGGTTCACTCTGGTGATAGTTTCTTTTGCTGTCAGAAGCTCTTTAGTTTAATTAGATCCCATTTGTCAATTTTGTCTTTTGTTGTCGTTGCTTTTGGGGTTTCAGTAATGAAGTCATTGCCCATGCCTATTTCCTGAATGGTATTGCCTAGCTTTTCTTTGAGGGTTTTTATGATTTTAGATCTTATGGTCTTATGTTTAAATCTTTAATCAATCTTGAGTTAATTTTTTTATAAGGAAGGGGTCCAGTTTCAGTTTTCTACATATGGCTAGCCAGTTTTCTCAACAACATTTATTAAATAGGGAATCCTTTCCCCATTGCTTGTTTTTGTCACGTTTGTCAAAGATCAGATGGTTGTCGATGTGTAGTGTTATTTCTGAGGCCTCTGTTCTGTTCCATTGGTCTATGTATCTGTTTTGGTACCAGTACCATGCTGTTTTGGTTACTGTAGCCTTGTAGTATAGTTTGAAGACAGGTAAGGTGATGCCTTCAGCTTTGTTCTTTTTGCTTAGGATTGTCTTGGGTATATGGGCTCTTTTTTGATTCCATATGAAATTCAAAGTAATTTTTTAAATTATGTGAAGAAAGTCAATGGTAGCCTGATGGGGATAGCATTGAATCTATAAATTACTTTGGGTAGTATGGCCATTTAAACAATATTGATTCTTCCTATCCATGAGCATGGAATGTTTTTCCATTTGTTTGTGTCTTCTCTTATTTCCTTGAGCAGTGGTTTGTATTTTTTCTTGAAGAGGTGCTTCACATCCCTTGTAAGTTGTATTCCTAGGTATTTTATTCTCTTTGTAGCAATTGTTAATGGGAGTTCACTAATGATTTGGCTCTCTGTTTGTCTATTGTTGGTGTATAGGAATGCTTGTGATTTTTGCACCCTGATTTTGTATCCTGAGACTTTGCTGAATTTGCTTATCAGCTTAAGGAGTTTTTGTGCTGAGACAATGTGGTTTTCTAAATATGCAATTATGTCATCTGCAAACAGAGACAATATGACTTCCTCTCTTCCTATTTGAATACCCTCTATTTCTTTCCCTTGCCTGATTGCCCTGGCCAGAAATTCCAATACTATGTTGAATAGGAGTGGTGAGAGAGGGCATCCTTGTCTTGTGCCGGTTTTCAAAGGGAATGCTTCTAGCTTTTGCCAATTCAGTATATTGGTTGTGGGTTTGTCATAACCAGCTCTTATTATTTTGAGGTATGTTCCATTATTACCTAGTTTATTGAGTGTTTGTAGAATGAAGGGTGTTGAATTTTATCCAAGGCCTTTTCTGCATGTATTGAGATAATCATGTGGTTTTTGTCATTGGTTCTGTTTATGATGGATTATGTATATTGATTTGCCTATGTTGAACCAGACTTGCATCCCAGGGATGAAGCTGACTTGATCGTGGTGGATAAGCTTTATAATGTGCTGCTGGATTCAGTTTGCCAGTATTTTATTGAGGATTTTCACATTGATGTTCATCAGGGATATTGGCGTGACATTTTCTCTTTTTGCTGTGTCTCTGCCATGTTTTGGTATCAGGATGATGGTGGCCTCATAAAATGAGTTAGGGAGGAGTCCCTCTTTTTCTATTGTTTGGAATAGTTTCAGAAGAAATGGTACCAGCTCCTCTTTGTACCTCTGGTAGAATTCAGGTGTGAATCCATTTGGTCCTGGGCTTTTTTTGGTTGGTAGACTATTAATTACTGCCTCAATTTCAGAACTTGTTATTGGTCTGTTTAGGGATTCAAATTCTTCCTAGTTTAGTCTTGGGAGGGTGTATGTGTCCAGGAATTTACCTGTTTCTTCTAGATTTTCTAGTTTATTTGTGTAAAGGTGTTTATAGTATTCTCTGATGGTAGTTTGTATTTCTTTGGGATCTGATCCCCTTTATCATTTTTTATTGTGTCTGTTTGATTCTTCTCTCTTTTCTTCTTTATTAGTCTGGCTAGTGGTCTATCTATTTTGTTAATCTTTTCAAAAAAACCAGCTTCTGCATTCATTGATTTTTTGAAGGGTTTTTCATGTTTCTATCTCTTTCAGTTCTTCTCTGATCTTAGTTATTTCTTGTCTTCTGCTAGCTTTTGAATTTGTTTGCTCTTGCTTCCCTAGTTCTTATAATTGTGATGTTAGTGTGTCGATTTTAGATCTTTCCCGCTTTCTCCTGTGGGTATTAAGTGCTGTAAATTTACCTCTAAACACTGCTTTAGCTGTGTCCCAGAGATTCTGGTATATTGTGTCTTTGTTCTCATTGGTTTCAAAGAACTTATTTCTGTCTTAATTTTGTTATTTACCAGGTAGTCATTCAGGAGCAGGTTGTTCAGTTTCCCTGTAGTTTTGTGGTTTAGAGTGAGTTTCTTAATCCTGAGTTCTAATTTGATTGCACTGTGGTTGGAGAGACTGTTTGTTATGATTTCCATTCTTTTGCATTTGCTGAGGAGTGTTTTACTTCCAATTATGTGGTCAATTTTAGAATAAGTGCTATGTGGTGCTGGGAAAATGTATTTTATGTTGATTTGGGGTGGAGAGTTCTGTAGATGTCTAACATGTCCACTTGGTCCAGAGCTGAGTTGAAGTTCTGAATATCCTTGTTAATTTTCTGTCTTGTTAATCTGTCTAATATTGACAGTGGGGTGTTAAAGTCTCCTACTATTATAGAGTGTGAGTCTAAGTTTTTTTAGGTCTCTAAGAACTTGGTTTATGAATCTGGTTGCTCCTGTATTGGGCGCATATATATTTAGGATAGTTAGCTCTTTTTGTTGCATTGGTCCCTTTACCATTATGTAATGCCCTTTTTTGTCTCTTTTGATCTTTGTTGGTTTAATGCCTGTTATATCAGAGACTAGGATTGCAATCCCTGCTTTTTTTTGCTTTCCATTTGCTTGGTAAATCTTCCTCCATCCCTTTATTTTGAGCCTATGTGTGTCTTGGCATGTGAGATGGGTCTCCTGAATATAGCACACAGATAGGTCTTGACTCTATCCAATTTGCCAGTCTGTGTCTTTTAACTGGGGGCATTTATCCCATTTACATTTAAAGTTAGTATTGTTATGTGTGAATTTGATCCTGTCATATGATGCTAGCTGGTTATTTTGCCCATTATTTGATGCAGTTTCTTCATAGTGTCGATGGTCATTATATTTTGGTATGTTTTTCCAGTGGCTGGTACCAGTTTTTCCTTTACATATTTGGTGCTTCCTTAAGGATCTCTTGTAAAGCAGGCCTGGTGGTGACAAAATTCCTCAGCATTTGCTTGTCTGTAAAGAGTTTTATTTCTCCTTCACTTATGAAACTTAGTTTGGCTGGTTATGAAAATCTGGGTTGAAAATTCTTTTCTTTAAGAATGTTGAATATTGGCCCCCACTCTCTTCTGGCTTGTAGGGTTTCTTCAGAGAGATCCGCTGTTAGTCTGATGGGCTTCCCTTTGTGGGTAACTTGACCTTTCTCTCTGTTTGCCCTTAACATTTTTTCCTTCATTTCAACCTCGGTAAATCTGACGATTATGTGTCTTGGGGTTGCACTTCTCGAGGAGTATCTTTGTGATGTTCTCTGTTATTTCCTGAATTTGAATGTTGACCTGTCTTGCTAGGTTGCAGAAGTTCTCCTGGATAATATCCTGAAGTGTGTTTTCCTACTTGGTTCCATTCTCCCCATCACTTTCAGGTACACCAATCAAAGGTAGGTTTGGTCTTTTCACGTAGTCCCATATTTTTTGGATGCTTTGTTTGTTGCTTTTCATTCTTTTTTCTGTAATCTTGTCTTCATGCTTTATTTCATTAACTTGATCATCAATCTCTGATATCCTTTCTTCCACTTGATTGATTCAGCTATTGATACTTGTGTATGCCTCACAAAGTTCTCGTACTGTGTTTTTCAGCTACATCAGGTCATTTATGTTCTTCTTTATACTGGTTATTCTAGTTAGCAGTTCCTCTAACCTTCTATCAAGTGTCTTAGCTTCCTTGCTTTGGGTTAGAACATGCTCCTTTAGCTTGGAGGAGTTTGTTATTACCCATGTTCTGAAGCCTACTTCTGTTAATTCATCAAACTCATTATCTTTCCAGTTTTGTTCTCTTGCTGGTGAGGAGTTGTGATCTTTTGGAGGAGAGGAGTTGTTTTGGTTTTTGGAATTTTCACCCTTTTTGGGGCTGGTTTTTCCTCATCTTCGTGGATTTATCTACCTTTGATCCTTAATTTTGGTGACGTTCGGATGGGGTTTGGGGGTAGGCGTTGTTTTTGTTGATGTTGATATTATTGCTTTCAATATGTTAGTTTTTCTTTTAACAGTAAGGCCCCTCTTCTGCAGCTGTGCTGGAATTTGCTGGAGGTCCACTCCAGACCCTGTTTACCTGGGTATCACCAGCGGAGGCTGCAGAACAGCAAAGATTACTGCCTTCTCCTTCCTCTGGAAGCTTCATCCCAGAGGGGCACCCACCAGATGCCAGCTGGGGCTCTCCTGTATGAGGTGTCTGTCGGCCCCTGCTGGGAGGTGTCCCCCAGTCAGGAGGCACGGGGTTCAGGAACCCATTTGAGAAGGCAGTCTGTCCCCTAGCAGAGCTCAAGTGCTGTGCTGGGAGATCCCCTACTCTCTTCAGAGCCTGCAGTCAGGAACGTTTAAATCTGCTGAAGCTGCACCCACAGCTGCCCTTTCCCCCACGTGCTCTGTCCTTGGGAAATGGGAGTTCTATATATAAGCTCCTGACTGGGGATGCTGCCTCTTTTTCAGAGATGCCCTGCCCAGAGAGGAGCAATCTAGAGAGGCAGTCTGGCTTCAGTGGGTTCTGACCCGTTTGAACTTTCTGGGGGTTTGTTTACACTGTGAAGGGAAAACTGCCTACTCAAACCTCAGTAATGGCAGACTCCCCTCCCCCCACCAAGCTTGAGTGTCCCAGGTCAACTTCAGACTGCTGTGCTGGCAGAAAGAATTTCAAGCCAGTGGACCTTAGCTTGTTGGGCTCCATGGGGGTGGGATCTGCTGAGCAAGACCACTTGGCTCCCTGGCTTCAGCTTCCTTTCCAGGGGAGTGAATGGTTCTGTCTCACTGGTGTTCCTGGGGCCACTGTGGTAAAAAAAAACAAAAACAAAAACAAAAAAACTCCTGCTAGCTCCATGTCTGCTTAAATGGCTGCCCAGTTTTGTGCTTAAAACCCCAGGGCCCTGGTGGTTTAGGTACCCGAGGGAATCTCCTGGTCTCCATGTTGCAAAGACAGTGGGAGTGGGACAAGTATACTATCTGGGCCAGATAGCACTGTCTCTCGTGGCACATTCCCTCATGGCTTTCCTTGGCTAGGGGAGGTAGTTCCTCGACCCCTTGCACTTCCTGGGTGAGGTGATGCCTCACCCTGCTTCTGCTCACCCTCCGTGGGCTGAACCCACTGTCTAACCAGTCCCAATGAGATGAGCCGGGTACCTCAATTGGAAATGCAGAAATCACCTGCCTTCTGCATTGGTCTTGCTGGGAGCTGCAGACCGAACCTGTTCCTATTTGGCCATCTTGCCTCACACATCGTTCCTGGCCATTCCCTACTTCCTGTCCTCTGCAAGAGCTTTAAGTTAACTCAAGTGAATTTCTATTTCTTACAACTAAACAATGCTTGACTCAGACAATGCTTATGGTTAAAAGTTATTTGTTTCCAATTGAAATAACAGAGATAACAGACTCAGAGCCATGATGCTGTCTAGTTCAAATGTTTTCTATTATAATTTTTTCTTTATTAATAATTTATTAATATTTGAGGTGATGTATATGTGTATCATTCCACACTGTGCTAAAAATCATAACATCACTTTGTAATCCACAAATATTTAGAGCTATGTTTTTAATTTATAATCAAAATAATTTAAATTAGAAAAGTAAAAAGTAATATATGCTTCATGTACAAAAACATCAAATAATATGGAATAATAGAAAGTGAAGATGCATATTCCAAGTCTTACTCTCTCCTGATGACATTCCTCAGAAGAAAATTCCTGTTAAGTGTTGTTGCATATCCTTTCAGACATTTTTATGTATATTTATAAAGAGAAAAACCTATATTAGTATACATGTATGTGTATGTATGCATGCATGTATCTATCTATCTATCTATCTCTCATCTATCTATCCTATTTCAATTTAAATGCGATGTCTCCTGTTTGTTCTTCTCCAGCCACAGGAAACATCTGCTCAGTCTCTGTATAAGCCTTCATGAGTCTGAGGTCAACCATTAATGGCTTTTTAATTTTCCTGTCTCCTGGTCAAATAATCTCAACTCCATTAACTTTTCCTTGGTAAATCTATTTAAACACTATTTTTTCTCTTTCTCACTGTAAAAGAGAAATTGGTTTGTGAATTAAGAGCTCTAATAAAATTTTTAAATATCTCTAATATTATGTTTTTAATACTGGCTAGCTCTGGATCAAATTCTCACCATCTGTGTAAAGGGGTCATTGACCATCCAGTCAGTTTTGCGGCCTAATTTTGTTTGACATTCAGCCAATTACTTTCTGCTAATAGATATTGCAGTTATGTAGAGTGGGATGTCATCTCAGTTAATTCATTGTCATTTTTTAAATTTATACCAAATAATAACATGAGTTTCCTGTTTAACAAGATATGACTACCTTAGAGCTGAAGACAGATGATAGATTTTCTTCACAGATATTCCTCATTTTTCCACATTTGCTCCACAATGGTGATCATCTAAATTATCTATTGTCTATCAATGTCTGAATACTTACCTAGAGAATACCTAGAGAAAGTTATTTTTAGTAGAGTAGCTAATTAATTTTTAAAATAGTTTTGATATTCCTGAGATATCAAAATAGAAAAAAATCTCCCAGTGGCTTCCATTTCATTTATTCTTTACACCTCTGTGTAAAATTTTTCGAGATATAGGTACATACAGAAAAGTATATAAAACCTATCTGTAGGGCTTAAATAATAAAATAAATATCTCTGTACCCACCACCCAGGGTTAAGAAACAGGATATAACCAGCACCTTGGAGGCACCTTGCCAATTGCATCCCTCAAACTCTCTCCCAGCGATTAATCTTGGTCTTACATTTTTATTCTCCTTGCTTTCTTTGAAGTTTTGCCATCTAGATATCTATCCTTAAACACTTTTATATTGTTTATTCTACATTTTGTTTTATTATTATATTTAAAAATTTTTAAACTTTATATAAATTGAATCCTACTGTATGAATTTTTGTGATTTCAGCAAGATGATTTTGAAATTCATTCATATTGATGAATATAAGTTGAATTAATTAATTTCAGTCACAAATAGTGTTTCATTGTATAAATATTTTACAATATTCATTATATTACTAACGAACTTTTGGGTTGCTTTCAGTTTTGCTATTATTGATAATGCTCATGAACATTCTTAGATATTTGCCCAGCAGAGAGATTGCTTAGTTCCATCAAAAAAATTTATTTTAACATCATGGAAATCTTTGCACATAATAGGCCCTGAGAAATGTTTGAATGAATTAATTTCAATAATTTGATGGTAAAGTCTCTTTAATATTCCCTAGCAAATATGTACTGGGGAACAAATACATAGGACATATTTGGAGATGGAATCCAAGGTAAAAACTTAGTAATTGCTTAATTTGATTTATGTGTTCCAGAAGGAACTAAACCCTTGTTGAAGAAAACACAGCACAACTAGAAAGGAATAACTCATTGTCATTAAGTGTGTTCATGCTAGACCACCAAGCAAGAATGTGTTTGCCCAGCTAAGCTCTTTTAAAACCTTTAGGGGCAAGGACAGATAGAGACAAGCACAGTAAGTCAAATATTTGCCCAGCTGACTCCTCCTGTCATGTTGGTCTTATATAGGTAGCAGTAAATTTTCCCTTCAGGTCTTTTCATGGTCCTTCTATTATGATTTATTACATTCCAGTTCCCATCAAAAAGCATTTATTAAGTCCTTAGTTATTCATTGTATTGCAAATGAAATCATGGCTACAAAGTGGATTAGTATTCTTTGTTGCTGAAAAAGCTGAATAACTTTGTTTAACCTCTACCTTATGTTAGAACTCCAGTTGTACTACCAATTCTTCCCACACAGTTTGAATGATTTATATGATATGCAAAAGCCTACACATTTGGAACACAAGGATAACTATGATGACGTCCCTGTAGTCACTTGCAGCCCCAGGGAGACTAGTTTAGTCACCATCTCCCTCTGGCAGGAAATATTAAGAAATCAAGTACTTCCTGCCTTGGAATTAAGCTTTTCTGA
The DNA here is from genome assembly GCF_000001405.40 of Homo sapiens. Classification (NCBI taxonomy): domain Eukaryota; kingdom Metazoa; phylum Chordata; class Mammalia; order Primates; family Hominidae; genus Homo; species Homo sapiens. Next base: position 110,995,569 of record NC_000003.12, on the reverse strand, counting down.
GTTCTTGTGGCAGGGGTGTTGATTAAGACACAGTTTTCTGGGTTCCACATTTGCTTGCCGTGACATCAGTTACTCATCTGATTTTTTTAGCTTCTTCCCTGAATTCCTGGCTTCCAAAGCTTAGCTTATTTATTTAATTTCTTAATAATTCTAATTCTTTATTTTCCAAGTGATCATTGTAGATGTAATTGGAGGTGTCCTGACTTATAGCTTGGGTATGAATAACTGCCCCCAGCAGTGAACCACATTTCCAAGCATTATATTTGACTTTACTAATTTATATTAGTAGGAGAACAAGAAATCCAATCTCTCTCCCTGACAACTCACCTAACCTCCCTTTTGTATTCCAAGGGCTGGGCCTATTTTTGTCTTGTTGCTAGCTCTACTGCTTTTATTTTTCATGCAATTAAAATGCCCAAAACAATTCCTATGGTTAAAGTTCTCCTTTAAATCTAATATGCAATGACTCCTAGCTCAAGAGTAATAGGACCCCTCTTAAAAAGTGAGCTCAGCTGCCATCTGCTATCTTTTCTCTTTTTTGTAGTATCTACTTGACAAGGTATTAAAGACACCATGAAGTCTAATGCTAATGTTTTCTATTATAATATTTTCTTTAGTAATATTTTAAGTTAGAAAAATGAGAAGTAATATATAATTACCCTGCTAGAGTGTGAATTTGGGTTCATCACCTGATAGAGTTGCTGGAAAATGGATGCCCAGTTAATCATGAATTTCAGATAAACAACAAATAATTTTTTAGTATAAGCATGTCCTATGCAAAGTTTGAGACATAGTTACACTAACAAAATTATTCATTGTTTACCTAAATTCAAATTTAACTGAGCATTTTGTATTTTAGTTTGCTAAATCTAGCAATCCTACCTCTTGAGCTGGAGGATTTCGCAAATGCCAGTAGATGTTGGTTACTCTTAAAAACCACTGCCTTCTCCAACGCATCCATCTGTGTACTTCCTTGTAAAATCCAGTTTTAGTAAAGAACCCAACTAAGTCAGTTTAGCAAGAACCACCCCCTCAAACATCTGATCATCCTCAATATCTGATTGGGTTCCTCATCCTCCACTATTCCCCAAGTGATAAATGATCACTTCAGCCTGTCTTCAGCTAGAATCCTGTTAGGTCAGCTTAGCCAGAATCCCTCTAAGCCCTGATGTTTCTGCTTAATAATTTTCTGTCAACTGACTCCCACCTTGCTCCTTGGCTATAAACTCCCACTTGCCCATGCTATTTTCAGAGTTGAGCTCAATTTCTCTCTTTCACTGCAAGACCCAGTTGCAGTGGCCTCTATACCTATTATGATTGTCCTGAATAAAGTCTTCCTTACTGTGCTTTAACAAATATTACTGAATAAGTTTTAGCAATGTACTGTAAGATGAGACTTATGATGATGAACTGTAAAATCCAGTAACTTTTGTATCAACCATTGCAGATCACTGCCGAGTGATTCTTCAATATTTCTGAGAAGGATAACCTTTCTCCCTAACAACCTCCTCAGTACTCTCTGAGGACAGTGGTGTTCCATAATGAAATTGTCCTGAGGTCCCAATATTCTAGTTCTTTAGATTTATGCACATAGTTACTTCAGGAAGACATAAGGCTGCCCATGGAAAGACTAATTTGGGATATGCCTGGGCCCCCTCACCTATGCAGAACCACTCTTCTCCCAACAGTCATGTGGCTTGGGCTTAGCTTTTTCTGCCCTCATGGTGACCAAATTTCTGTGGCTTCTTTGCCTTTCATTGTCGCTGAATCACTGTTGGGGTTATCCTAATCTGACAAGTTTTAATAATCTTGAGTCTTGGGGGGACCATGGTTTAAGCTCTTATACTTTTACATATCTCAGGAAGCCACTAATCTTATGCAAATATGTTTCCTTCAAGTAATCTCAAAGATATGGCTAGTAGCATTAGTTTCTCTTGACAAATGAAGGAAGGAAAGAAGGAAGGAAAAGGATGGGAAAGGCAAGAGGGAAAGAAGAAAGGGGGAGTGGGGAAGGAGGGAAGGAGAGAGAGCAAGAAAGAAAGAGGAAGAGAGAAATAGGGAGAAAGACAGAGGGATGGAACGTTCCACCTGTGGGCATACCAAAAAAGAAGAAAGGAAGAAAAAAGTATTTGAAGTTCTATTTCAATGGACACAGTTAAATTAGTATTAAAACACAGTTTAATGCTTAATCAATAATTATTAAAATTAGGGGAAAATGAAGCAACAATGATTCCCAAATGTAGCAGTGATCACTATTACTATAATGTCTTTGGTCTTTCAAAGATTTTTCTATGCATGTTTGTGTGAGTATATATGTGTATTTTTCTGTGGGAGTGTCTACATACACAAACAAATGGATTTATACTCTACAGACTTTTTAAATATATATATAGATATTCACTTAATAATATATTATATTTTTTCTATATCATTATACCTCTAAAATATCATTGTAGTAACTATGGAATATTTCACTGATTGTAATGCTTAATGAATTTATGGATTGGATTCTTAACAAAAAAAAAACCTATTTTGTACTTTTACTTCCAATTAACATCTTGTGGCTAAATTTTTGCACATATCTTTATTCCCTTATGTAAATTATCAGTTGTAGAGTGTCTGGAACTGGGTAAAGGGCATTTTTCATATATATATATGTTTAATTTTATTTTGAAATAGTTTTAGAATTAGAGTTGCAAAGATAGTGCAGACAGTTTCTCTATACTCTACATCCAGCTTCCCCTAATGGTTAACATCTTACCCATAGTACATTTATCAGTACTAGGAAATTAACACTGATAAATACTCTTAATTGAGCTACAATTAGTAGTATTATAAGACTAATGTCTTTTTTTCTGTTAAGAATCCAATCCATAAATGCATGTCACATTTAGTCGTCATGTTTTTTTAATCTTTTTCAAATTGTTTTTCATGACCTTGGTACTTTTGAAAAGTACCAGTTAGCTAATTTGTAGAATGTCCTTCAATTGGAATTTGTGTGATTTTTTTTCATTATTAGGTTGGAAACATGTCCATATTGTTTAAACGTTTTTGACATATACATTAGAAGCCATCTCACCCAATATGAGTGATAGGTTAAAGAAGTTGTTTAAAGCAGTAGATCTTTTAAAATGATACATATATATATATAAAATTTGCTTTTTATGACTTCACTTGGCAATATTTTTATGTTGGGCCAAGGTTTTGTTTGTTTTTTGTTATTAGTAAATTCTACCGCTTGGAGTTCTAAGTCATCTTCCTCTCATAAATCACAAGTAGAATGAATAAATAATTCACGATTCTAGTTTCAATTTGTTTAAAATGGAGAGAGAACTTAAAGCACTTGAAATTCAAGATTTTTACAATTTTATTTTGAGTTTGACTCACCCACATCTGACAATTTTCTTTTTGTTTTCTTATGAAATGCATATTCATTGAGCGTTTTCAAAGCACTTAGTTTTCATTAAAAAAATCACTTTTTAATCTCATCATACTGTATAATATTTATTAAATAAGCATTATAATAAAGAACACAACTGAAATGAGTAAGTTTAGGAAAAACAAAACTGACTCTCAGTAGATAAATCCCTTTGGTCACTAACCATTGAGAAAGAAGCAATTCTTAGGTGAACTTGAGAGAAGCCTGCTAGCTTCAAGTGTTCTGCATGCAGAGAGTACCTGGTGCTTTGTAGAGGGAATGGTGAGTTCCAGTTAATCTAGAAAGATGTTTAAGAAGAGACCAGTTAAGAGAGCTGCTGATGTATTTCCAATTGTCCTCCAGTGGAATTGTAACCTATTTATGTTCCCAATACATGGTAGGAGAATTTCTGTTCCTCTATCTTTGGTAACAGTGAATAAGAGTATATCAAACTTGTAATATTTCAAAATAGATTATATAGAAATAATTTATGTTAATAGTAGAAAATTATTTCTTGGTGATGACCAAAAAGACTGATTCTTTTGGTTATTTTGCTTATTAATCATCTGTATTTCTCTATTTGTTTCTGATCTTAATGTGTTTTTACACAGATAGCAACCAAATTCTCTGACCTGCTTTTATTTCAAAGTTTCTAGATGGTGACCTGCTTCAATTACCTGGTAACAATTGTTCTATTAACTTCTGTATTATGAATCTGGGACAGAATTATGTTTCTTTGAATCACTCTCTGTCTGGTGACTTCCCATATGAACATTATAAATATCTCCTGTATTTAAAAAGCCAGATAGAAAAAGAAAAGAATCATTCACCAACAAAGGGGGGATTTACCATGGGGATTAGAAACAACATGTCCAGATAAGCCATGCTACTTGCATTTATTTCATCTATCACCCCTCTACATACACTCCTACTACTTTTCTTTCGCTGGCCTTCCTACTGTTCTTGGAACGCGCTGGGCACATTCCCGCTCTGGGTCTTCTGCTGGCTGTTCCCTTTGCCAGGAACATTCTTTTCCCAGTTATCTGCATGGCTAGCTCCCTTACCTCTTCCAAGTCTTTGCTCAAAGGACGTATTTGCACAGAAGTCTACGCTGATTACGCTACTTAAAACTTACTACTCCAACCACTTTTGACTACCCTGACTTGTTGTTTATTTTTATAGCACTTACAACTTTCCTCATATTATGCCATTTAATTTTTAGTCATATACATTAGTTTTTTTAAAAAATTATGAGTGTATAGTTGGTGTATATATTTATGGAGTACATGAGATATTTTGATAAAGGCATACGATGTGTACTGATCACATCAGGGTAAATAGAGTATCCATTATCTCAAGCATTTATAATTTCTTTGTGTTATAAACATTCCAATTATACTCTTAGTTTTTAAAAAATTTATTTATTTATTTATTTACTTATTTATTGTTTGAGATGGAGTCTCACTCTGTCGCCCAGGCTGGAGTGCAGTAGCATGATCTCATCTCACTGCAACCTCCGCCTCCTGGGTTCAAGCAACTCTCCTTCCTCAGCCTCCCAAGTAGCTGGGACTACAGGTGTGCACCACTATGCCTGGATAATTTTTGTATTTTTTAAATAGAGACAGGGTTTTGCCATGTTGGCCAGGCTGGTCTCAAACTCCTGACCTCAGGTGATCCACCCACCTCGGCCTCCCAAAGTGCTGGGGTTACAGGCATGAGCCACCAAGCCTGGTCACTCCTAGTTATTTTTAAACGTACAATAAATTATTCTTGACTGTGGTTACTCTGTTGTGCTATAAAATACTAGATCTCATTCATGCTGTTATTGTACTCATTAACCATTCCAACTCCCCCTCCCCTTACTACCCTTCCCAGCCTCCAGTAACAATCATTCTACCCTCAGTCTTCATCAGTTCAATTGTTTTAATTTTTAGATCCCACAAATGGGTGAGAATATGTGAAGTTTGTCTTTCTGTACCTGCCTTATTTAACTTAGTGCAATAAGCAACCATGTGGTTGCAAATGACAGGATATTATTCTTTTTTATGGCTGAATAGTACTTCATTGTGTTTATGTACCACATTTTCTTTATCCATTCATCTGCTGATGAACACTTAGGTCGCTTACAGATCTTTGCTGTTGCGAATAGTACTGCAATAAACATGAGAGTGCAGATATCTCTTTGACATACTGACTTCATTTCCTTTGGATAAAGAACCAGTAGTGGAATTGCTGGGTCATATGATAGCTCTATTTTTATTTTCCTCTGGAAGCTCTATACTGTTCTCCATCTTGGCTGTACTAATTTACATTCCCACCAACAGTGTATGAGGATTCTCTTTTCTCCGCATCCTCACCGGCATTTGTTATTGCATGACTTTTGGATAAATGCAAATTTTACTGGGGCGAGATGATACCTCGTTGTAGTTTTAATTTGCATTTCTCTGATGATTAGTGAAGTTGAACACCTTTCCATATGTCTGCCATTTGTGTGTCTTCTTTTGAGAAATGTCTATTCAGCTCTTTTAACCGTTTTAAATTGGATTATTAGATCTTTTCCTATTGAGTTGTTTGAGCTTCTTGCATACTTTGCTTATTGATTCCTTGTCAGATGGATAGTTTCCAAATATTTTCTCCTATTCTGTGGGTTGTTTCTTCACTTTGTTGATTGTTTCCTTGCTGTAGAGAAGCCTTTTAACTTGATGTGATCCCATTTATCCATTTTTTCTTTGTTTACCTGTGCTTTGGGTGTATTAACTAATAAATCTTTGCCTATTCAGATTTCCTAAAGACTTTCCCCAATGTTTTCTTTTAGTAGTTTCATAGTTTTAGGTCTTGGATTTAAGTATATAATCCATTTTGTTTTGATTTTTGTATATTGTGAGAGATAGGGGTCTAGTTTCATTCTGCATATGGCTATCCAATTTTCCCTGCACCATTTATTGAAGAGACTGTCCTTTTCCCAATGTATGTTCTTGACACCTTTGTTGAAAATGAATTCACTGTAGATGTATAAATTTATTTCTGTGTTCTCTATTGTGTTCCATTGGTTTTTATGTCTGTTTTTTTCTGCCTGTACCATGCTGTTTTGGTTATTATAGCTATGTAGTATAATTTGATGTCTGGTAATGTGATTCCTACACTGTTGTTCCTTTTGCTCAGGATGCCTTTGGCTTTCCTGGGTCTTTTGTGGCTCCACATACAGTTTAGGATTATTATTATTTTTATTTCTGTAGAGAATGTCATTGGTACTTTTATAGGGATTGCATTGAATCTGTAGATTGCTTTGGGTAGTATGAACACTTTAACAATATTGATTCTTCCAATCCATAAACATGAAATATCTTTCCACTTTTTTGTGTCCTCTTCAATTTCTTGAATCAGTGTTTTATAGTTTTCATTGTAGATATCTTACACTTCTTTGGTTAAATTTATTCTTAAGACTTGTCTAATTTTATATGTAGCTGTTGTAAATGGGATTACTCCCTTGATTTCTTTTTTAGATAGTTCACTGCATATAGAAATGCTACTGATTTTTGTATGTTGCCTTTGGTTTCCTGAAAATTTACCAAATATGTTTATCAGTTTTAATAGTGTTTTTGGTGGAGTCTTTAGGTTTTTCCAAATATAAAATCACATCATCTGCAAAGAAGGATAATTTGACTTCTTCCTTTCCAATTGGATGTCCTTTATTTCTTTTCTTGTGTGATTTGTATAGTAGTTGTGGGTCTGCGATTTATAGCTTATATTGTTTATATTGTTTTGAAGTAAGGTCTTTCTATCCCCAGTTTTTTTTAGGGTTTTTATCATGATGGTATGTTGAATTTTATCGAATGCTTTTTCAGTATCAATGGAAATGATCATACCCTTTTTTTGTCCTGCATTCTGCTGATGTAACATATCACATTCATTGATTGATGTATGTTGAACTGTCCTTACATCCCTGGGATAAATCCCACTTGGTCATGCTGGATGTTATTTTTAATGTGTTATTGAATTTGGTTTGCTAGCATTTTGTGGAGAATTTTTGCATCAATGTTCACCAAAGATATTGTCTTTTCTTTAATGTGTTTTTTTCCAGTTTTGGTATCATGGTAATATTAGCCTTGTAGAATGAGTTTGGAACAATTACCTCCTTCTCTATTTTTGGAAAGTTTGAGTAGGATTGAATTTAGTTCTTTAAATGTTTGATCAAATTCAGCAGTGACGCCATTGGGTCCTGGGCTTTTCTTTGCTGGGAGATGTTTTATATGATTTCAGTCTCATTACTTGTTATTGGTCTATTTAGATTTTGGATTTTTTCCTGGCTCAATGATTGTAGGCTGTATGTGTCTAGGAATTTATCCATTTCTTATAGGTTTTCCAATTTATTGTCATAAATTAGTAGTTGCTCGTGGCAGCCTCTAATGATCCTTTGCATTTGTGCAGTATCAGTTGTAATGTCTCATTTTTCATCTCTGATTGTATTTATTTGAGTCTTCTCTCTTTTTGTCTTATTTAATATGGCTAAAGGTTTGCTAATTTTGCTTACCATTTCATAAAACTAACTTCTTGTTTTGTTGATCTTTGGTATTATTTTTGGTTTCAATTTCATTTATTCTTGCTCTGATATTTACTATTTCTTTTCTTCTGCTAATTTTGGGTTTGGTTTGCTCTTGCTTTTCTAGTTCTTTAAGATGCATTGTTAAGTTGTTTATTTGGATTTTTAAAAGCTTTTCCAATGTAAGCACTTATTGTCATAAACTTTCCTCTTATTGCTGCTCTTGCTCTATCCCAAATGTTTTGGTATGATGTATTTCCATCTTCATTTGTTTCAAGAAATTTAATATTTTCTTTTTAATGTCTTCCTTGAATTGCTGTTCAGAAGTCAGGAAGATACTGTTTAATTTCCATGTGTTTGTATAGTTTCCAAAGTTTCTGTTGTTATTGACTTCTCCTTTTATTCTATTTTGGTCGAAGAAGATACTCGATATAACTTCAATTTTTTGAAATTTTAAAGACTTGTTTTGTGGCCTTACCTATGGTCTATGCTTGAGAATGATCCATGTGTTGAGGAGAAAATGTATTCTGCAGACATTGAATCACTATCACTCTTGAATATCTATCAGGTTAATATGGTCTACAGTGCAGCTTAAGCCTGATGTTTCTTTGTTGACTTTCTGTTTGGATGATCTGTCCAATGCTAAAAGTGGGGTGCTGAAGTCTCCAACTGTTACTTTATTGAGGTCTGTCTCTCTCATTAGCTCTAATAATATTTGCTTTATATATCTATGTGTTCCAATATTGGGTGCATGTATATTTACATTTGTTATATTCTCTTTTTTGACAAAATTGACACTTTATCATTGTATAATTACCTTCTTTGACTCCTTTTATAGTTTTTGTCTGGAAATCTATTTTGTCTGATATAAGTATAGCCACTTCTGCTCTTTTCTGGTTTCCATTTACATGAAATATATTTTTCCATTCCTTTATGATACTTTCTGTTTGTATTTATAGGTGATATGGGTTTCTTGTAGACTACAGATCATTGGCTCTTGTTTTTTTTATCCATTAAGCCATTCTATCTCTTCTGATAGGACAGTTTAGTCCATTTACATTCAGTGTTTTTATTGATAAGTAAGGGCTTACTCCTGCCACTTTATTATTTGTTTTCTAGTTGTTTTGTGCTCTTCTCTTCCTTCTTTCCCATCTTCCTCTTACTAAAGGTGATTTTCTCTGGTGGTATATTTTCACTTATTGCTTTTGATTTTTTATGCATCTATTGTAGGTGTTTTGATTTGAGTTACCATGAAGCTTGCAAATAATATCTTATAAGCCATTATTTTAAACAGATGACAACCTAACACTGATTGGATAAAGAAACTAACAATGAGACAACTTATAAAAATTCTACACCATCCCCCACACAACTTTTTAACTTTTTGTTGTTTCTATTTACATCTTATTATATATACTATGTCTTGAAAAGTTGTTTTCAAAGTTATTTTTGATAGGTTCATCTTTTAGTCTTTCTACTGTAGATATGAATAGTTGCACATCACAATTACAGTGATACAATGTTTTCTATGTACTTACTATTACCAGGGAGTTTTGCACCTTCAGATGACTTCTTATTTCTCCTTAACATCCTTTTCTTTCAGATGGAGGAACTTTCTTTAGCATTTCTTATAGGACAGGTCTGGTATTGTTAAAGTGCCTCAGCTTTTGTATGGGAAAGTCTGTATTTCTCCTTCATGTTTGAAGGATATTTTCACCAGATATATCATTCTAGGATAAAAGATTTTTTTCTTCAACACTTTAAATATGTTATGCCACTCTCTTCTGGCCTGAAGGTTTCCACTGAGAAGTCTGCTGGCAGACAAAATGGAGCTCCTTTGTATGTTATTTTTTTTCTCTTGATGCTTTTAGGATCCTTTCTTTATCCTTGACCTTTGGGAGTCTATTTAATGTATTGAGGTAAGTATTATTTGAGTTAAATCTACTTGATGTTCTATAACCTTCTTGTACTTGACTATTAATATGTTTCTCTAGGTTTGGGAAGTTCTCTGTTATTATCCCTTGAATAAACTTTCTACCCCTTTCTCTCTTTCTCTACCTCCTTTTTAAAGCCAATAACTCTTGAATTTGCTTCTTTGAGGCTATTTTCTAGATCTTGTAGGCATACGTTATTTATTTATTTTATTTTATTTTATTTTATTTTGTCTCTTCTGACTATATGTTTCCAAATAGCCTGCTATTTGCTTGTGATGGTTACTACGGTTCTGAATGAAAGGGGATGAATGCAGAAATGAAAACTAAGATAAAATAATCTGTTTTAAAGAAGGGGCCAGGGGGCTCCTTGCTTCTAGTGAGCAAGGGCCCTGAGCTTCCACAGCCCTTCATATTTATTAGGTAGAAAGAGCAGGGAGGAGGAGCTAATGTTGGCCAGCTGCTTGATTTATCACAGGTTCACATGATTGCTAACAGGCTTCAGATGTGCCTGTAGATAATCACCAGAAACACTGTGCCTGGGGCGTGACTGCACTCAGTATTCCTTCTGGGTGGCAGACAAAGTTTGCCAGCTTGCCAACATCCTGCTTTCATGAGAACAGTTTGCTGTTTGCTCATATAGCCTCCAGCGGTATACTGAGTTGATCATGACCCTCATTCCTTCGGCCTCCAACATTTGCTCACGAATACTTTCTTCTGTTTGATGAATTCTGCTGTTAAGAGACTCTGATGCATTTTTCCATATGTCAATTGCATTTTTTAGCTCCAGAAATTCTGCTTGACTCTTTTTAATTATTTCAATCTCTTTGTTAAATTTATCTGGTAGGATTCTGAATTCCTTGTCTGTGTTATCTTAAATTGTGTTGAGCTTTCTCAAAACAGCTATTTTGAATTCTCTGTGTGAAAGGTCACATATCTCTCTCTCCAGGATTGGTCCTTGGTGCCTTATTTAGTTTATTGGGTGAGGTCATGTTTCCTGGATGGTCTTGATACTTGTGGATGCTTGTCAGTTTCTGGGCATTGAAGAGTTAGGTATTTATTGTAGTCTTCACAGCCTGAGTTTGTTTGTACTTGTCCTTCTTGGGAAAGCTTTCCAAGAATTTAAAGGGACTTGGGTGTTGTGTTCTAAGTCTTTGGTCACTGTATTAGGGGCACCCTAAGCCCAGTAATACTGTGGTTATTGGGGACTTCTAGAAGTACTCCCTTGTTGGTCTTGAGTAAGAGCTGGCAGAATTCTCTGGATTAGCAGGCTGAGACTTTTGTTCTCTTCCCTTACTTTTCTCCAAAAGGAGTCTCATTCTCTGTGCTGAACTCCCTGGAGCTGGAGGAGGGGTGCCATAAGCACCTCTGTGGCCAACACCACTAGGCCTCTGCTGGGTCAGATATGAAGCCAACACAGCACTGGGTCTTGCCCGAGGCTGGTGGTGACCACTGTCTGGCTACTGCCTATGTTTACTCAAGGCCCATGGGCTCTACAACCAGCAAGTGCGGAATCTAGGGAAGGCTTGTGTCCTTCTCTTCAGCGTGGAGAGTTCCTCTGGACCATGGGAAGTTCCAGAGATGCTGTCTGGGACCCAGGGACTGGAGTTGAGACTCTGAGGACTACCTGGTACCCTATTCTACTGTGGCTAAATTGGTATCCAAGTTATAAAACAAAATCCTCTTTACTCTCCACTCTCCTCTCCTGAAGCAGAAAGAAGGATTCTCCCTTGGAGCTGCAAGCTGAACTGCCTAAGGTTGAGGAAGGGTATCAGAAGCACTCCCTTGGCTTCCCTTGCTCGTGTCTCACTAGGTAATGTGCATCCCAATTCCACTGGCTCTGAACCCAGCACAATACCAAGACTTGCCCAGGAATTGCAGTTCTTGTAGCCCAGACTGCTTTCAAGTTTATTTGGGACCCTAGAGCACTTTAGCACGTGGCACGGGGGCTTCCCAGAACTCCAGTTCTGACTGGTGGCATGGACAACTTGCCTTTGGCCTGGGCTGGTTTAAATGCCCCCTCCATGGGGCATTTAGTGTGAATAGTTGTTCAATATTGTGTCACTGTGTGGGGAATGATTGCTGGAGGCTTCTGTTCAGCTATCTTGCTCTGCCCCCTCTACATATATTGTTTAATTCTGACTTCCATTACTAGAATGGAAACTCCATATCATAGGTAAGAATCTTGGTTTTGTGATCTGATATAGTCCAACAGCCCAGGGCAGTGCCTAGAACATGGTAAACACTCAACATTATTTGTTAAATGAATAAATCAATTTAAAAAGAAGGTTTCTACACATGCAAAGGAGAGACACAGTAAAGGGACATCCCTAGTAGGATACTCTATCTGGGAAAACGTAAGCATTTTAATCAGAATCTTTTGAAGATGTTGTCCCCTCTTTGTTGGCCGTCTTCATAGGAGTGACTTTTGAATCTTTAAGGCACATAGGTCCATCCTACATATCTCTTCTAATGGTTTGGTTTACCCAAGCAAGCCTATCTTGATGTTACACAAAAGCCACTTCGTAACTAAAATCTCTTTAGAGATTTTCATAGTCCAGTGCCAAACCATCACGGTTTTTGTTGGTCTAAGGAATTTTTCTGGACAAAATTCTTGACTGTCAATACTGAGTGATCAGGACCCTGAGTTATGCAGGCCTGACTATGCGAAGCTAGAGGAAACACTTCTTACACTCATCTTTTAGAGCTTACCAGCAGGGTATTTGGCCTAAAGCAATAATGTTTTTTTTCTAAGTCCTTTGAGGAAAAATCCAGAGAAAGTTCTGTAGGCAAAGACACTGTTGTTCCTCATTTTCTTTCAATTCACTGTGAATATTAAAGTCTGATTTAAAAATTTTATAAGAAAGTTTTAAGAATGTTTTATTTTAGATAATAATGAAAAACTGGAGGTTCCACTTCTGCTTAAGGATGTAGAAAAATGCAAAAAAATGTTGCCCCCATACTAACAAGAAGAAAAGTCCAGATATAATCTAAAAAAAATCTTTTCTTAAACTCATCATATAACTGAAGTTGCAAAACAGTTAAGGGAATTGAATCCCAATAAGTATCAAGCCCCTCTGTGCAGGGATAGGGCACATGATCTGTTTCATCTTTAGCACAGTATGGGAGGAAGAGGTGGCTTCCATGAAAGCAGGGAAGAGAGCAGCTAAAATTTCAACACATTTCTAAATGCCAAGTGTGGGCTAGCATATCAATTTAGAATAACTGGGAGCTCCATTCACAGTCATTTACAAAATCTTCTCCATGGGCTTACACTGGATGCTCACAAGAAAGATTGGAGGTCAAGGAAAAAGAACAATAATAACTGTTCTTGGAGCTGCCAGAAACAAGAGGAGGTTTGTTTGCAAGGAGATAGAGGCAGGCATGCTAAGAGGGCCCTGTTTCCAAGGCCCAGGTGCACAGATTCTGCCTAACACTAAGGCTAGACCAGAAGAACGGGGCATTACTACAGTTCCCAGCATTAGCTTAGCACCAAATAATAAGCAATAAAAGTCTACTGCTGAGGGAGGGGGCAAGCATATGGAGAGACATGCCCTCTGAGGCATGTGTGTTCAGGGTCTGATGAAATCTAGTTGTAGAGCAGGGACACTGAGAAGAGCCCTTCAGCACTTCCATGCCCCACACTACACGCAAACCCATCACTGGAGAAATATGAAGATTGGTGTGCTGAGAAAATGGCAGCAACAACAATATTCAAACAGGGCTTTTATATTGGTTGCAGAAGAGTTAAGAAAACATAAATCTGATGGTATAATTTTTCAATATTTTCCACATTACATCTGGATCAAGGCTTTTGATCTTAAAAAAAAATCAGTGTTTCTGTTTGAGATTTTTGGTAACTCCACTGTTGGCAGTGGAGGCCCTCCTATAGGAGGTAACTAGGAAAACAGTAGGTTCAGGGGAGGAGGAATTAAGAAATTATCCTTCTGCACTCATCTCTTTGGTCCTCAGTTATATCAATCTTCAGCATTCTATGGTTCTAAATCAAATGTTAAGGGAAGAATCTAATTTTTGGAGTCCCATGCCTGCTTTCACCTGTTGCTGCAGTTGTCGTGGTTTGATTTGGTATCTACTGCCTGGTCCTTGCACCAATATTCATGATATTGAAGCCAGACTAATGGCTATGGCCAGGGTGAATTATAAGATAATTCACTTGTCATCATTTCCAGTGGAATGATTTTTTTCAAATATTACGTGCTGGAAAACATGTACAGGCAAATTTGGCTTTATAAAACTTCTGCTAAGGAAATCAATGAAATATAGACAATGTTAAATGTTAAGGTTATTTTTTAAAGCAATATTTCCCTAGATTTTCCAGCACATTCTCTAGCAATTCTTCTATAAATTCTGTAAATATTCATAAAAGGCTGTAAATAGTTGAAGAGATAATTCATTTTTCAAGGTTAAATTTACTTAGAATGCCTCCTTCTTAGAAAGCCCTCCACTTAATATTCTGCATGTAAACATAATAGCACAGTTAGGAAACACAAACTCCAATATGTTGATTACAATATAATTCCCATCACTTCATATATGAATTGCCCAAGATTTCAACTTCAACTTTAAATATAACATATTTAATATATAAAAGAGAGAGAGGAAGAAAACAGTAACAACATTTACTCATACTGTTCTTCAGAATTTCAAATGAAAATTTGCTGATTACTAAATCAAAGTTGGAATTCAAGATTACACTGAATGTGTACAGACACAATTTTTCTAAAAAAAGCAACAACCACCAAAAATAACTGTTTTGTATTTAAATAATGAGTTAAAAGCAACTGACAAATTTGGTTTGTTTATAAATTATAACATAGGCCTGTTATGGGAAAAGCAGAAAAAATACCTCTATCTTAAATCAATTTCCTTCCTATTCTGAAGAAGCTGGAAAAAAGACAACACAAGCAAATTAACATTTCTTTTGCTTGTGGTAATGATAGTCCTAAAAATAAAGTCAACTCTACCTATATTAGAACTTTAGTACAAGAATATGATGATTTGTCAGTGTTACAGAAGGTAGTCAGAAGAATAAAAGAAAAGAAAACCCATGGCATCCATCCTCCTAACCTATCTTCAGACATCAGTTTTCACCAAGTAAAAATTGGTTGAGAGTATACACTCTGTTTTTATCATGTCCTTAGGGCAAGGCTGATCTTTTTCAATGTCTATATACCGACATAAGCAAAAATGTACAAATATATAGATATACAATATTTACATATTTATTTTTTTTTTGCTTCCTAAGATAGTCTTTGATCTTCTTGTTAAGGTATTTTAACCTGTAGAAAAATGTAGTAGACACTTGATTTGCTGAGGCCCACACAGTGCTTTAGAGCTAGCTCTTGTTATAAAAGCCATTTTCTTCAATAGCTAATTGTCACACAACTTCCGAATTACTAGAACTTCAACTTTATTCCAGTGTAATTTGAACATCTAGCAGATTGTATAAATCTTATCTTGTTTTTTTTTCCATGCTCTCTTTTTTTTAAGTACAGGAGCAATACATGTTCATTATATATAATTCAAATATTACAGAATTTGTCTCCTATATGCTTTCCCAAAGACATTAATAGTTTACACCAGTGGACTTTTAATTTTGTAGCTTAAAGCAATGTGATGATAGTCTGGGATATAGAGAGAGATGATATTCATAGACAATTAGAATACTTGTTAGGTTTTTAAGATGCAACCACAATGTATGTGGCTCTAAAGTTAAATATCTATCTTCTGACCCTTCTTAGACCATATTTTGAGTATATTCTTTCCTTACAAATTATGATATGGCTATTTTCAATCCAGTGCAAAGAATAGCTTCAGGCTGAGCTCAAAATTTCAATGATGCTATTAGTAGTTTTCCCAAAGGAATCCATTTTGTTTGAATTTAGATCTTCGCTCAACTAAAAATATCTTTAGTTTACTTTCCAAATGATGAAAAAATATATAGGCCAAAAAGAAAACACTGGAACTGAAGGAGTTTTGGCTTAGTATCATTCGTTTAAAATTTACTAAAGTTTATTTAAATTAATTATATTTAGTAATTTTATTATACTACTTATGTACAGTAATACCTTACCTACTTATAACTTTGCCAGTAACCTCACCTCCCCAGAATGTAGACTGAAACAAAAAATAAAACCAAAATGTATGACATGAACTAAAGCTCTTGTGGGAAGAACTAAAGTTTTCTTGTGGGAAGGTTTTAAATTAAATTTCCTTAATTTATATACCATTATTCAGATTTTCTTTCTTTCTTTCTTTCTTTCTTTTTTTTTTTTTTTTTTTTTTTGAGACAGAGTCTCACTCTGTCGCCCAGGCTGGAGTGCAGTGGTGCAATCTTGGCTCACTGCAACCTCTGCCTCCTGGGTTCAAGCAATTCTCTGCCTCAGCCTCTTGAGTAGCTAGGATTACAGGTACCCGCCACCACGCCCAGCTAATTTTTGTATTTTTAGTAGAGACAGGGTTTCACCATCTTGGCCAGGCTGGTCTTGAACTCCTGACCTTGTTATCCACCCACCTCAGCCTCCCAAAGTGCTGGGATTACAGACGTGAGCCACCACGCCCGGCCCTCTTTTTTCTTTCTTTTTTGAGACAGGTTCTCACTCTGCAACCTAGGCTGGAGTGCAGTGGCATGATTACTGCTCAATGTAGCCTCAACCTGCTGGGCTCAAGGGATCTTCCCACCTCAGTCTCTTGAGTAGCTGGGATTCCCGTTGCCTACCACCACACCTGGCAAATTTTTGTATTTTTTTTAGAGATGGGTTCTCACTATGTTGCCCAGCCTGGTGTCAAACTCCTGGGCTCAAGCGATCCTCTTGCTTCAGTCTCCCAAAGTGTTGGGATTACAGGTGTGAGCTATAGCACCTAGCCAGATTTTCTTTTTTTTTTTTTTTTTGTATTAGTTTGGACTATTTGTCTTTCAAGAAATTAGTTCATTTCAATGATGTTATCCAAATTATTGACATAAAGTTATTCATATTTCTGTTTTTTTTTTTTTTTTTGAGACATGGTCTCATTCTCACACCCAGGCTGGAGAGCAGTGGTGCAATCATATCTAACTGTAACCGTGAACTTCTGGGTTCAAGCAATCCTCCCACATCAGCCTCCTGAGTAGCTAGTACTACAGGCACCTGCCACCATACCCAGCTAATGTTTTTATTTTTTTGTAGCTATAGGGTCTTTCTATGTTGCTCAGGCTGGTCTCAGACTCCTAGCTTCAAGGGATTCTGCTGCACCCGCTTCCCAAAGAACTGGGATTACAGGCATGATCTACTACACCTAGCCTATAATATTTCTTTATTATATTTTTTATATCTGAGTTACGCCATGAGATATCCCCTAATATACACTTAATATACTCT